>NC_000012.12:43369218-43520734 GCF_000001405.40 Homo sapiens
AAAAAATGAATGAAGAGAAGCTATAATTTTTTTCACAAAGAAAGAAAATTAATCAAACAAATATGAAATACCTGTGGGCATCTGAAAGCACTGTAGCAATCTCCAGCTGTGGCAAATGGAACTGCATTTCCAAATATTGTTTTGGAAAAAAGAAGGTCCGTAGCTAGAAAATAATAAATAAAACTCTTTAGCATGGAGACAATAATGCAATCGTTGTTGTCAAACACAGAGTTTTCTTATTACTTACTTAGTAAATATACATATTTATATATTAATTTTAAAATTTTAAGCACAAATGCCACAATTCTGGTATATATCATAGAATAAGCTCTCATTGAACAAATTTTGTTTAATATAAAAATGTTCATATCATAAATTGCCCTAACAAAGGGCAAGCACATTTGTAATTAAACAGAAGAGTTAAAACGAAATAAATGCATTATTACATTTGAAGTCATAGAATATCTGAAATAGGTAAAGTGGGGTCAGGAGCAAAATCACTGGAGAAAAAAGGGTTATGTAAACATAAATGACAAAACAATAAAATTGAATGCTTATAAACAGCACATACAAAAATTCATTTAGGTAATTCAAAATCTCTCCACAAAAAAGTATGCCATTTTCTTTTTTTCGTGTCTTATTGCATTATGTTATTCTTTTTATTTTTTTCAAACTTACTTTTGCTAACAGTGTTAGCAAAATTTCCTGACTGGTAATAATGCTGAAGAGTCTACATAAAGTATCAAAAATAGAGCCATTGGATTAAAACAGGCTGGAAGGAACACTAAAAGTCAGCTGCTTCAATCACCTATTCATGTTTGAATCAAATATTATCCCAACCAAATCATCTAGCCAGTGGCTGTCACCTCCACTATGTATTCCAAATCTCTTCACTTTCAAGACTGCAAAATCACTGCATGTCCCAGGATGACATCAGTCCTTCAGAGGCAATTCCCAAAGGTAGCATTTCTGGAAATATTTGTCATATCTCCAAAGGGCAGTTTCAAAAACCAGGAAGCTCTCCATGGTTTACCAGAGCCAGCTTGTACCAAATAGTGAGAGCCAACTCTGTGCATTTCTTCCCAAGCCCAGGTACAATGAGGTCATGTTGGTAGCTCATGATTGGTCAGGGTGGGAATACATACACCATGTATATATTAGTGCCTGACACCACAAATCAGACTTTTTCTTCCCTGGATAACTGGTCGTCATTCATCTGCACACCACTATTTATTTGTGGCATTTGTGGATTATGCTGGGGCAGAGCAGAGACACAACTTTCAAAGCATCTATTGTTACTAACTCCAAAAGCATGTCAGTCAACAGCCAGTTTCATCAGCCAATTACACAATGATGACTCATAAGTATATATTCCAGTCCACCTGACTCTGATGAGTTACAGAACATATATCAAATTCCTATTGGGCATCATTACTTGGATGACCTACAGATATCTGTAATTTAACATGTTCAAAGCTAAATGCATTATCTTTTTCTCCAAATTTATTTGCCCTGCTCTATTTCCCATTTCACTAAACTGTACTACCATCTGTCTTGTTATTTTAGAAACCTTTCTAAATATTCCATGTCACTAATTCTCACACCCCTTCTATCAGAAAATCCTGTAGTGTCTACCTCTTTAATATTTCTCAAATAGGTATCCTAACCCATGTTCCCAGTACTCATCACTTTTTATCTGAATTGTTACATTCGCTTCCTAATCATTTTTCATGGATACAATCTGTTCTGCCTCCAACCAACTCTATTCCTTCCCCTGCTTATGCCTTTATGCCTTTATTCCAATGGTTCCTATAACTTGCAAGATAAAATTCAATTGTATAGTTTAGTATGCACTGTTCTTCATGATCTGCTCCCTGCGAACTTTTCTAATAAGCTACCATCCCCCAACCTACATTTGATTTATGTTAGACAAAACTAGACTGCTTTTTATTCTCTGATATCGCCAAAATGCTTCTCCCTTCCATGCTTTTGTTCATGCTTCTCCCTCCTCCTAAAACTCATTTTTTTGCCTCTTTTGTTAACTCAAAGTTGTCTTGAGATTGTTCAAACTATCTGTTCCTATAAACCTCTTGAGAAAAGCGAGGACTTTTAATTCAACAGATACTTATTTACAATATATTTTGCATTGGGCAGTATTATAGATATTGCGAACACAACAGTGGGTGAAACAGAGGCCAATGGAACCTGAGTCTTACCAGGAAGAGACAAGTTATAAAACAAATATTACAGTATGTTAGGGGTGATACTTGCTATGGAAAGAAAATAAAGCAGATAATAGAATGGGGAGGAAGAGAATTTAGTGGTGGAGAGTGGTTCTGGATGGTCTTATTTAGAAGATAAATTTCAGCAGAGACCCAAAAGAAATGAAGGGGTAAACCACACAGACAGCTACAGATGAATGTTCCCGGCAGATGGAACAGTAAGTGCGAAGGCCTTAAGATGGGGGCATGCCTGGTGTGTTCAAGGAACAGCAAACAGGCCACTGTGTCTGTAGTAGGAGTGATCATGGGGCTCAGGGCAGCAGAAAACTGAGAGGGAATAGAGGTGGAAAGGTCATGGTGACTCTTGTTGACCAGTGAAATGCACAATTTTGTCCATAACAGCATGCACATTGAAAATTCACCTGACAGAAGTTGATGATGAATTACATGTGGGTGTGGAAGAAAGGTAGAAGTTGAAGATGTTGCTAGGTTTTAGCTAGACTAAGTAGAATATTATTGGTGGCATTTACTGCAGTGGTAAACATTTGGGTTTGACAGCAGGTTTGGCAGGAAATGTTAGAAGTTCAGTTTTGGATACATTGAGTTTGACATGCCTATTAGACATTCATATGAATATGCTGAGTAGACAGTTGGATTTTGGAGGTTAGGGTAGCAATCCAAGCTGGAAATGTGCATTTGGGACTGTCATTTAATAGATGGTACTTGAAATCTATAAATTTAATGAGATTCCCAAATAACAACTGAATCCTATAGCTCCTCAACATTCAGAGTTGTAGAAGATGAAGAATAACTTGCCAAGTCGAGAAACAGTGAGAAAGACAGGAGAAAGAGTGGTCAAGAAAGACACAAAACCATTAGAGGATGGTGTCCTGGGATCCAAATGCTGCTGATGCATCATGTAAGATGGAAAACAAGACTTTATCATTGAATTTAAGGAAACAGGTTATTGATGACTTTGATAAGGACTGTTTCCTGGAAGTGACATGAATAAGAGATTGATTAGAGTATAGCATGGGGAAAGAGAATTGGAGAGTGCAGATTATAACTCATTTAAGAAATTTTACTATAAATGAACACAAAGAAACTGGTCAGTGGCTGGCTGGAAAGGTAGAGGTCAAGATGATTTGCTTGTGATTATGACGAAAGAAATAAAATGTTTCTCTATGAAGAATTTAAATGATTCAGCAGCAGAATTGAGGATGTGAGAGAGATTAGGAAATATGCTGAAATAACGTTCTTGAGTAGGTACAAGGCACTGAGCCTAGAGGACAAGGAGCAGGATTTGCCTTGGATGGGAGCATGAAGAGTTCATCCAGAGTAAACAGGAGAAAGCAAGGAGATAGGTAAAGATTCAGGTAGGCTGGTAGATGTGGCAGTGGGAACTTGAGCAATTCCCTTCTGATTCTTATTTTCTCAGTGAAATAGCGAGCAAGATCACCAGCAGTGAGTTAGTAGAGTGGAGGTATTAAAAATTTTGAAATTTGAAGCTACAGGAGAAGGTATAAGTTAGACATTTAGAAAAGTAGGAGAGAGAATGGACTAGGGAAGTGCAGTAGGATTATTTGGCAGTGCCATGGATCCGTGTAAGCTTAGTACTCATGTGTTTAAAATGGTATCAGTCAGAAGGGCTGTGTATTATTTGCCACATTCAGTTTTATGCTGCAAGCACAGAATGGGTGGAGATTTAATTTAATCAAGGCTGGATTTTTACCATGCAAGTTTAAGGAAGAAAAAGAGAGGAGAAACTGTATATATTTGACATTGCATGCTTGCATGCTCTGGGCCCAGACCAATGCCTGGCAAAATGGCAGCTTTGTTAAAAAGCAGTCTAGTTAACAGCAAATAAGCTATTGAGTGTCTATTAGAAACTTAGAGCGCTAATAACATACTTATAACCATATACATCATTAAATAATAACCAATATTTATAGAGCATGTACTCTATCAGGGATGTCTAATCTTTTGGCTTCCCTGGGCCACACTGGAAGAAGAATTGTCTTGGGCCACACATAAAATACACTAACACTAAGAATAGCTTATGAGCTAAAAAAGTCACAAAAAAAATCTCAAAATGTTTTAAGAAAGTTTACAAATTTGTGTTGGGCCACATTCAAAGCTGCCCTGGGCCACATGAGGGCTGCAGGCTGTGGGTTTGACAAGCTTGTATTATATGTAAAACAATGACTAGATATGTTAGAAATATCATCTCTTTTTTTTTTTTTTTTTTTTTTTTTTTGAGACGGAGTCTCGCTCTGTCGCCCAGGCTGGAGTGCAGTGGCGCGATCTCGGCTCACTGCAAGCTCCGCCTCCTGGGTTCACGCCATTCTCCTGCCTCAGCCTCCCAAGTAGCTGGGACTACAGGCGCCCGCCACTACGCCCGGCTAATTTTTTGTATTTTTAGTAGAGACGGGGTTTCACCGTTTTAGCCGGGATGGTCTCGATCTCCTGACCTCGTGATCCGCCCGCCTCGGCCTCCCAAAGTGCTGGGATTACAGGCGTGAGTCACCGCGCCCGGCCGAAATATCATCTCTTAATCCTCACCAAACAAGAATAAAAAAAGAAGGAAAGAAAAAGGAAATGAAGAAAAAAACCTTAGTAATAGTTTCTCATTTTACACATGAGGGAACCGAGGCTTAAAGACATATGCCCAAAGTCACAGAGCTGATAAATAAAGAATTACACCCAGACAGTCTAGAGTTTATTATTGTAACCATAGTAATATAATGCTTCCACACTGTAGTAGATGGTGGATGTTCAGTAAATGATAGCCATCATTATTAATAATAATGGTTCATAATTTTATGACTATAATTTATATATTATATATTCATGCATATACTGTCTTAATTTTTTTTATTGCTTTCTATGACTTATGCACCATGCTAGGCACTGATGATTCAATGGCAATTGAGATGGAGTCTCTGCTAGTGAAATGCACTTTTTTGCCTCTTCATGTAGATATGTAACTTTCTGGACAGCAGCCTGCATTTGCCAGGTGCATATGAAGTTCTATAAATACGTTTTGACTTGATTGTATTATAAATTACTTTCTAGATAAGCAGTATGATCTATAATCTAAGGTCTATGAGTAGGACTTTTTTTCCCTAATGCCAGTACTAACTGTATGAATGGAACAAATTGCTTAACTTCCATATTACTTACAACATTGTGATATAGTATCTGCCTTAACTAATACAAGAGTGTTAAAAAGGTCAAATGAGATAATGTATGGGAAAATACCTGATAAATTATCATTAGAAACTAATGTAAATGATTACTTTAAACTCTGCAAAAAGCTTCCACAAGTAGACCGAGGATATTAACTTTCTTATCCTTAATGTACCTGAGGATTTTAAGGTAGAGGGTTTTATCTTGGAAGGGCAGTATCTTACTTGTTACTGTCATTACATTTTTATTAAGAGTCCCCAGCTGGGAGTGGTGGCTCACGCCTGTAATCCCAGCACTTTGGGAGGCCAAGGCAGGTGGATCACCTGAGATCAGGAGTTCAAGACCAGCCTGACCAATATGGTGAAACCCCATCTCTACTAAAAATACAAAAAGTTAGCTGGGCATGGTGGCGTGTGCCTGTAATCCCAGCTACTGGGGAGGCTGAGGCAGGAGAATCGCTTGAACCCAGGAAGTGGAGGTTGCAGTAAGCCAAGATCATGCCATTGCACTCCAGCCTGGGCAGTAAGAGTGCAACTGCGTCTCAAAAAAAAAAAAAAAAAAAAAAAAGCCCCATGGTGCATGTCATTGCAGAGGAAGTATGTAGCTAACTGTTTTTAAAAAAAGTAAGTAATTTTTGCACAATGTCAGGTCCTTCTCTGTACCCTGGCTACAACATATACCAACATATTGTTTGACGTTCATAAGCAAATGGAGGCTTTTTGATTTTAAAATATAGATTGAGCACTTACTTTTAATTTGCATGGAAGTGAGATCAATTCTTATTTTGCTGAAAACAGTGTATCCAGCAGCTAAGTGTCCATTGTCACATTCACAGTCTTCCCTTCTACTCCCATTAAAAGGACATTGATATGGATTTTTTAGTCTGTAACAACATTGGGATATTTTAGTATTAGATGCAGTTACGAGGCCATAATGTAGACAAACTTTGGGAGTAGAAAAATAAAACACACTCCTGCTCTTTAATATTATAGTGTCAACAAGTTAAACAAGAAAGAAGCAAAAATCACTTAAGGTGAACATACAACATTTTCAATGAAACATCTAAGAAGAGCTTGTAGAAAAATAATTCAACTGCATTCTTCTAGCTTTGATTACTGGAATTAGTTTGACTTTATGAAAATGCACATAGTTCTTAAATTCTTCCCTTCTCTATGTCCGACTTCTCACCCACAGTATTCTTAGTCAATCTCTCTGTTAATAGTCAATATTAACAATACATGTTAGTATTCAAGGCTTTATTTCTGAACAGGCATTAACAACATCTAGTTTAGGTCCTAACATGTCTACCTGCTCCTACATTATTTGTCTCACATGTAAGCTATTCAAGTATCACTCTGAGGGCTAGAAGTTCCAATTCTCTTGGAGGACCATGAAAATGCTCAGATAGACCAAAACACATCTCGTACCTAAAGCCATACACTTCAGAAAAGTTTTCTTCACCTTGGACCAGTGTTAAATATTCCTTAGGGTTCTCCAAGTACATGTCTGCACAATAAATCTAAAGAAAAAATGTAAACATCTAGAAAAACTTTTTCCAAAGTCAATGATCAATGTTAAAATAAAAAAGGAACTGTTTTCATAATACCTTTATTATTCTTCCCTTAATGTTAAGGTAATAGTCACCATCCTTTCTAATGTGGTTTTTCACTTGAATTTCTTTGCAGGTGGTAAATGATTTACCTTCAAAGACAAATTAACACAACTTAACACAGAGCAAATTACAAACACAGCAAGAACTTAATCATAGAAATATTGCTACACTCTGAATATCTGACACTTTGTTTTGTGGAGTGTGAAACTACTACAGATATTTATTTTAACTGAAACTTATTAGAAACCCTTAGGTATTAGATTTTTGAAGTCTACTACTTACAGTCATTGGCATAACATTTCTTTTGAGCACCTGGTTTTAAATGGTTTAAACATAAGTCACTGGACAAACCATGTTTGGTAATGCATTTCACTTGTCTCTTCATTATCCCAATTCCACAAGTCACTGAGCACTGTGAAAAGAGTAAAATTTGAAGGCAAACTATATTATGAATCTTAAGGCCATAAAATCCAAGTCTCCTTTTCTTAGACCAGGTATTTCTGGAGCACACTGAGGGTCAGTAGTGGCTAGATACACAGAAGACACAAAACTATGCTGGGGGCTGGATAGTCGCCGGTGGGAAAAATCCTTAGGCATGAGCCTGAATCTATTATTTCTCAGTTACTGGCTTCTTTTAATTCATTTTGTGCAGTTAGCAACAATACATTGTAAATACTTAATAAACATTAGTCAGTGATGGTAATTAAAACTATCTCATTAAGTTATATGCTAAGTTTGCAAAGTGATATTTACTTGCTTTCTATCAATTAAATTGGAAATAGAATATGATATAAATAACTTTTATTACTCATATATTAGATTTATTTACTTCTTCACTTAACCAATAAATATTTCTTAAGCACTTACTCAAAGTGCAAGCCACTGTGCTAAGTTATCTAAGGAACAGAAATAAGTATGAGTTATGGTCTCTGCTTTAAGCGAGTTATAGCAAGCATCGAACAAGAGATAAAATATTTATATAAATAACTGGTAATGTGGATTTTAGAAAATAGTGGTCTGAGGCAACTCTGAGGATCTAGTTAGACATACAAACAGATTACCAGATTTCCCACACCTAGAAAGTCTTATTCAGAAGTTTTAAAATTCATAATTGTACACCGACCTTGCTCCATTTTCCAACTTTCCAAGTGGCCAAATGCAAACAGCTGTTAATGCATTGGTAAACCTGAGAGGAAGGCACCACAGGGCATTCTTGATAAACTATAGGCCGAAGTCGATGGAGCTTATGTTTCTTAGTAGATGGGATCTCGGTGCAATATGTAATCCTTTGTCTGTAACTAAATCCACAGTTGTTTGCACACTGAAAAATACATAATTACAAGAAAGAAAATGTCATTAACTTTAGCCAGGGCCTAATATTTGTCAGATGCTTAATATATATTATGCTGTGTCATTTCCACAACAATCCTATTTAATTAGCTTCATTTACAGATGAGCAAACATAGGTTCAGACATTAGACAAGTTTCCCAGAGTTGTACCAATAAAGGAAAGAAACTCAGATCCAGGCTAGATTTTCTAGCTGTAGTGCCTGTGTGTGCGTGTGTGTGTGTGTGTGTTTTCATTACATTACCATCTTAATTGTATGAAACTATATCTCCCAATAGGCACAGCATTGGAGGAATAAAACATTTTGAGGGTCCTTACTGGAAATAAAGGGCATCTATTAGCCTTAGATCACTGGTAACTATGTATAAGTTAGCACACATGTATCTTCATAGATATACTGTAAAGTCTAATAACACTTGACTAAAATAGGTAAGTGATTTAGGTGTAAATTAAAGCCCCAATCCAAAAATGGGCAAATAGATTTCTGCTTTTAGCAAAAGAGGAGTAACAAGGAATAGATTTACCTTCTAACTTTAAACAACTAAAACATCTGAACAAAATATATAAAGCAATGGCTTTTAAGACACTCAACATTGGACAGTAAAGAATAGTAATCCATGACAGATGAGAAACAAAGTGACACTATAAAATCATTCCAGCCTACTGCTTTGAAAAACTTTCCAGGTCTTGGCACAACGAAAGGAAGGCAGCAGAGCTCTGACCAGCAGTGTGTACATACCTGTGAGGACACCAACCAAAGTAAGGCAATTAACCAAACAAAAGGCTTAGAAGTTACTTTCTCTAATGATCACACAGAACCAAATATAGTGCCTATTCCCTCCAGCTAGACTGGAAAATTTAAATACATGAGGAAATAGGTAAAGTACTCAAAAGGGTCTTGCCACAGTAGAGAGGAACAGTTAACCCTAGATTAAACAATATACTGATCTGCCTACAAAATCTTAAGTGCAAGGCAAGAGAGAGTCAAACTGTTCTCCAACAAAATTAATGCAACCCATAACAAAACTCAAAATACATGTATAGGAATAAAAAATATCTAGTCAGCAAAAAGGTAAAATTCATGGCTGACATGCAACAGAAAATTAATTGGAATGCAAAGAACCTGGAAAATAAGACTCATAATGAAGAAAAAACCTGTCCATCAAAACATCCCTAGAGGGGTGACATCTGTGAAAATGGAAGAGTAAGGACATCTAAAAATTCTCTCTTCTATAATAGCAGTGACAAAATGGGCAAAATTTGCCCGATCAGTTTTTTCAGAACTCTAGAAACTGACCAAAGACTTGCAGCAATCCAGAAGGCATTTATTCAATAAACATGGCTAACTTTTGGTAAGAAGAGCAAGTTTTGTGATGGTTTAACTTCTCCTATTTCCATTCTCTTCTTTCTAGCTCCATGGTAACCTTCAAAATCAACAGCCCTGTGATTATGGTGAAACCAGAATTCCGGCAGCCACTGGAGGGGAGCAGAACAGGCTTGGATATCATTCAAAGCCTCATTCCCAGAGAATTGTCATTATTTGAACTGTTTAGTGGTTTTCTGGAAGACCCCACTTGCAAGAATGTCTTTATTTGACCTGACCTGCTCAGTGCTAAAAATCTAGGGACATTTGTTGCGCTCAATTAAAAACCATTGTTTAACTTTGCAGTTTCCAGGATGCTGAATAACAGTTGGAGCAACAACAGGCTAGCTAAAAAGGCTTAAAAGGAAAAGCTAGGGAATAAGATGTCCATCAGAGCTTTGAAAAGCTCCAGTGTATTAATGGGATCTAGATGGCCGTGAACATGCATCAGATTGTACACATGTCCAGGTCTGTCTGCAAGCTCAGGAAGCATCTGAGGAGGGCCTGCAGCCTCTCTTCCAGCTGACCTCAAGGCTCTACACAAGCAGAAAGTTAAGATTAAGGAACAGTTGTCAACAACCTGATGAGTGTTGAAGGCCACACCCTACTCCCAACCCCCCAACACACAGTACCTTGGCAAAGGCTAGGGAACCAAAATTATTGGTTCCAGATATTAAGGAAATTACTGTCTAGTCATAGCTGACAACTAAACTAAGTGAGCAGAGACTTCAATGGCCATGTATGACAAACAATATAGACTTAACAGTTAGTTCAGAAAAGTCACTAAAAAACAAACAACAACAAACAGTAGCAACAACAAACCCTGGGGAGGAGGAAGAATCTGAATAGACTTATCACAAGTAAAGAGATTAAATTTGTAACCAAAACACTTCACACAAGAAAAGCCCAGGACCAAATGCTTAAAGAAGAATTAGCACCAAGTCTGCCAAAAGTATTCCACAGATAGAATAAAAAGGAGCACTGCCTAACTCATCCTATGAAGCCAGTTTTTCCCAAATCCAGACAGACATCACAAAAAAAAAAACTATAGACCAGTAGTTCTTAAGAATATAGATGTAAAGTTCTACAACAAAACACTAGCAAAACAATTCCAGCAACACATAAAAAGGATTATACACCATGACGAAGTAAGATTTATCCCAGGAATGCAAGATTATTGTAACATATGAAAGTCAATCTATGTAATACACCATACTAATAGAAGAATGGACAAAAAATATGATAATTTCAGTAGATGTAGACTAAACATTTGACAAAATCTAACACACTTTCATAATATAAACATGAAGCAAACTAGGACTAGAAGGGTACTTCTTCAATCTGATAAAGGGAATCTACAGAAAATCCATAGTTAGCATACTGAATTAGGAAAACTAAAAGTTTTCCTACAGAGAGCAGGAACAAGACTGAAATGTCTGTTTTTACCACTTCTATTTAACATTATTCTGGAATTTCTAGACAGGGAAATTGGACAAGGAAAGGTACAAAAGGCATCCATCTTTAAAGAAAGAAGTAAAACTATCTCTATTTGTAGATGAGATGATATTGTAAGTAGAAAATCCCATTTAATCCACACACTAAATAATTAAATCCCCCAAAAAATTTTCAATACACAAAAAACAATTCTATTTCTATACACAAGCAACGAATAATAAGAAAAATGAAACTAATAGAACAATTCCATTTACAGAATATAAAAAATACTCAGGAATAAATTAAAAGAAGTGCAAGATTTGCACACTATAAGACACACTTGAAATAAGTTAAAACCTAAATTAATGGAAATTCATTCCACATTCGTAGATAAGAAGACAGTATTATTAAGATAATAATATCTACCAAGTTGAACAAGAGTCATTGCAACCTCTAACAAAATCTCAGCTGGCTCTTACATAGAACTTGACAAACTGGTCCTAAAATTCACATGGAAATGTAAGAGACTCAGAATAGCCCAGTAATCTTAAAGAGGAAGGAAAAAAGTTGGTTCACTCATACTTCCTGACTTCAAAACTTACTATAAAATTACAGTCATCAAGACTACATGGTAATAATATATTGATAGGCATATAGATCAAGAAAATAGAATTGAGAGTTCAGAAATAAACCAATACATTTATGGTCAATTGTCAATTGATTTTTGACAAGGATGCCAAGCTAATTCAATGGGGGAAAGAATAATCTTTTCATGCAGAAGGATGAAATTAGACCCCTACCTCACATCACATACAAAAATTAACTCAAAATGTATCAAACTCCTAATTGTCTGAGCTACAATTATAAAAGCCTACAAAGAAAACATAGATATATATCTTTGTGAGCATGAAGTAGGCAATAGTTTCTTAGATATGATACTTAAAGCCAAAGAACTAAAACAAAAAACAAAATAAATTTCACTTCATCAAAGCATACTATTAAGAGAAAAGATAACCCACAGAATTGGAGAAAATATTTGCAAATCATCTAACTGATAAAAGTTGGTACCCAGAATATATAAATAATTTACAACTCACCCAGTGAAAAAATGAGCAGCCAGGCATGGTAGCTTATGCTATAGTCCCAGCACTTTTGGAGGTCCAGGAGGGATGATCCCTTGAGCCCAGGAGTAAGAAACCAGCTTGGGCAACACAGGGAGACCCCATCTCTACAAAAAAAAAAAAAAAAGCTAGAGATGGTGGCACATGGCTGTAGTCGCAGCTACTCAGCAAGTTTAGGTGGGAGGATTGCTTGAGCCTAGGAGGTCAAGACTTCAGTGAGCTGTAATTATACCACCGCACTCCAGCTTGGGCAACAGAACAAGACTGCATCTCAAAAAAAAAAAAAAAAAAAAAAAAGATGGGCAGAAGATTTGAATAGACATTTATCTAAAGATATACAAATACCTAAAACACACACAAAAAGATACTCAACATCATTAGTCATTAGAGAAATGCAACTTAAACATAAAATAGATACCATTTCATACATACTAGGATGGTTATGTTAAAAAAAAGATGGATTATAACAAGTGCTGTTGATGACTGATGATGATATGGAGAGAGAAATAGGAACCTTTATACATTGCTGATAGGAAAGAAAAATGGTGTGGCCACTGTGGAAAACAGTTTGGCAGTTCCTCAAAATATTAAATAGAGTTATGATACCCAGCTATTCTATCCCTAGGTATATGCCCAAGAAAATTGAAAACATACATCCACACAAAAACTTGTATGCAAATGTTCCTAACAGCATTATTGAAACGTCAAAATTGGAATCAATCCAAATGTCCATCAACTGACAAATAAATAGACAAAATATAGTATATTCCTACAATGGAATATTATTTATCATAAAAAGGAATGAAGCATTGATGTATGATAAAACTTGTATAAAGTTTTAAAATATCATGCTAAGTGAAAGAAGCTAGACACAAAAGACCACATATGGTATGATTCCATTTATACCAAATGTGCAGAACAGGCAAATCCACAGATACAGAAAGCAGATTAGTGGTTGTCTGAGACTAGGAGAAAATGTGAGAATAAGGAATTACTACTTATGGGTGCAGATATTTTTTTGGGAGTGATAAAAAGGCCTGGGATTAGATCATGGTGATGCTTGCACATACAGGTGATTATACTAAAATTCGCTAAATTATAAACATGTGCATAGATGTTAGAATTAGATGTCCAGAAGAAGATGTTAAAAAGATAATTTTTAAAAAAATTCAAGAAAAAAATAAAATAAAAATTGGAAAATTTTACCTACAAAAATAAAAGTAACTATGTTTCATATGTTCAAAATGTTAAGTAGAGATATGGAAGATATAAAAAAGCTGAAATTAAACCTCTAAAGATGAAGATGATAATGGCTTAGATAAAAAAACAGACTGGATGGGGATCAGACATCAGAAAGAAAAGAAAAGCAAATGTAAAGACATCTATATAATGGAATATTATTCAACAATAAAAGAAAAAACTATTGATACATACTACAACCTGATCAAATCTCAAAATACTTACATTACAGCAGACAAAAAAAGTATGTACTGTATGATCCACTTATATAAAACTCTAGAAAATGCAAACAAGTATAGTGATAGATCACTAATATAGAAAACAGGTAAGGTCACTTATTGGGTGAGGAGGGAAAAGAGAGGGGGGAAAGAGATTATAAAGCAGCACAAGGAAACTTTTGGGAGTGATGGAAATCAAAATGGTACTGGTTTTATGGCTGTGTACATGTGTTAAAACTTATTAAGCTATATATTTTGAATATATTTAGTTTATGGTTCATCAATTACACCTCGATAAAGCCATTTCTAAAAAGTGGACAACTGTACGGTGCCAGTTTGCCAAATTGTTCCTGGTGGTTGGTTTCACAGTTGGCACCTACTGACACTTGAGACTTGCACTAGAGTTTAACACATATGTCACTATTACTCTATTTGCACCATCCAACTGTCAGTGGTCTCATTCCTTAGATTGATATGCATACCATCATCTGCCCTCATATTCAAATTTTATACCCAGTTTCAGCTGTGTCAAATTGTAGATCCAGCTGTTTTATCAAGGAGCAAAAATTCTCAACTTCCTTTCTTTACCTTACCTGTGATGAGTCTGCTGTTACCACAATGTAATTGCAAGGAGGGTTCCTGCAATTCTTGGATGTAAGAGATATGGTTGAAGAATTATAGACTATTTCATTCACTTGTCTGATTTGGTTATCTGTGCACTCCATTCGTTGATGTGAATCTTTTCTCTCACATGATGTTGAACACTAGAAATGCAATAACCAAATGAATAACACATTCTTATATGCAGTGTCTTTGAAAATTTACATGTCGATACTCACATTCAGCCTCCCTCTTTCCATCCCCTTGTGCTGCACACAGTCCTGACTCCAACATCGCCTCTGAGAACAAGGTCGGGTGGACTGATCACACATTTCTTCAACCACCTGACCAACACCTTTCAGTCTGCAGTATACATCCCTCTGCTGAACTCCAGAGCCACAGGTCACAGAGCACTACAAAGGAGTCCAGTTGATTTGAACAATTAGCTAATAAATACCAAATTATATAAAAGTAGCCAATGGAGCCATTACATATTATTTATTTTAAATACAGCCTGGTATTAAAACATGAATTAGATAAAAAATACATACAATAAGTATTTTTACCATTATCTCTGTAAATGTATATTTTCCCTGTTTGGCATAAGGCACTTCAAGCTTTACAGAAACTCTGACAAGCGAATCAAGTTATAGTAGACAGCATCTCAATCAATGACTCTGTCTTCTACTTAAATGAGTATAATGTCTATAAAAATTACCACACAATTAATCATGAATTATTCCACAACATTGCTTTTAAATGTCAATTAAATTCTTAGACTATACTCATTATCTCCCTCAAAGAAACAATAATTTCCAAGATTGTGTTATATTCATCTTTTTATCTACAGTACCTACTATAGTTTGTACCTGTTATGGAATCTAAATACTTGCTAATTTTTTTTAATACTTTAAGTTCTGGGATACATGTGCAGAACATGCCGCTTTGTTACGTAGGTATACATGTGCCATGGTGGTTTGCTGCAACCATCAACCCGTCATCTGCATTAGGTATTTCTCCTAATGCAATGCCTCACCTTGTCCCCAAACCCCCTCGACAGGCCCCAGTGTGTGATATTCCCCTCCATGTGTCCATGTGTTCTCATTGTTCAACTCCCACTTATGAGTGAGAACATGCGGTGTTTGGTTTTCTGTTCCTGTGTTAGTTTGCTGAGAATGATGGTTTCCAGCTTCATCCGTGTCCCTGCAAAGGACATGAACTCATCCTTTTTTTATAGCTGCATAGTATTCCATGTTATATACGTGCTGCATTTTCTTTATCCAGTCTATTCTTGATGGGCATTTGGGTTGGTTCAAATTATTTGTTATTGTGAACAGTGCTGCTATAAACATATGTGTGCATGCGTTTTTTATAGTAGAATGTTTTATAATCCTATGCACATATACCAAAAATGGGATTGCTGGGTCAAATGCTATTTCTGGTTCTACATCCTTGAGGAATCGCCATACTGTCTTCCACAATGATTGAACTAATTTACTCTCCCACCAACAGTGTAAAAGCATTCCTATTTCTCCACATCCTCTCCAGCATCTGTTGTTTCCTGACTTTTTAATGATCACCATTCTAACTGGCATGAGATGGTATCTCATTGTGGTTTTGATTTGCATTTCTCTAATGACCAGTGATGATGAGCTTTTTTTCATATGTTTGTTGGCCCCATAAATGTCTTCTTTTGAAAAGGGTCTGTTCATATCCTTCACCACTTTTTAATGGGGTTGCTTTTTTCTTGTAAATTTAAGTTCTTTGTAGATTCTGGATATTAGCGCTTTGTCACATGGATAGATTGCAAAAATTTTCTCCCATTCTGTAAATTGACTATTCACGCTGATGATAGTTTATTTTGCTGTCCAGAAGCTCTTTAGCTTAATTAGATCCAATTTGTCAATTTTGGCTTTTGTTGCCATTGCTTTTGGTGTTTTAGTCATGAAGTCTTTGCCCATGCCTATGTCCTGAATGGTATTTCCTAGGTTTTCTTTTAGAGATGTTATGGTTTTAGATCTTATGTTTAAGTCTTTAATCCATCTTGAGTTAATTTTTGTATAAGGTGTAAGGAGGGGGTCCAGTTTCAGTTTTCTGCATATGGCTAGCCAGTTTTCCCAACACCATTTATTAAATATAGAATCCTTTCCCCATTGCTTGTTTTTGTTAAAGATTTGGTCAAAGATCAGATGGTTGTAGTTTTGTGGTGTTATTTCTGAGGCCTCTGTTCTGTTTCATTGGCTATTAATTACTACCTCAATTTCGGAATTTGTTATGGGTCTATTCAGGGATTTGACTTCTTCCTGGTTTAGTCTTGGGAGGGTTTATGCGTCCTGGAATTTATTCATTTCTTCGAGATTTTCTAATTTATTTGCATAGAGGTGTTTATAGTATTCTTTGATGGTAGTTTGTATTTCTGTGGGATCAGTGGTGATATCTCCTTTATCATTTTTATTGTGTCTATTTGATTCTTCTCTCTTTTCTTCTCTATTAGTCTGGCTAGCGGTCTACCTATTTTGTTAATCTTTTCAAAAAAACAGGTCCTGGATTCATTGATTTTTTGAAGGGTTTTTCAGGTCTCTATCTCCTTTGGTTCTGCTCTGATCTTAGTTATTTCTTGTCTTCTGCTAGCTTTTGTATTTGTTTGCTCTTGCTTCTCTAGTTCTCCTTTGCTTACGAAGCTTAGTTTGGCTGGATATGAAATTCTGGGTTGAAAATTCTTTTCTTTAAAAATGTTGAATATCGGCCCCCACTCTCTTCTGGCTTGTAGGGTTTCTGCAGAGAGATCCGCTGTTAGTCTAATGGGCTTCCCTTTGTGGGTAACCAGACCATTCTCTCTGGCTGTCCTTAACATTTTTTCCTTCATTTCAACCTTGGTGAATCTGTCAATTATGTGTCTTGGGGTTGCTTTTCTCCAGGACTACCTTTGTAGTGTTCTCTATATTTCCTGAATTTGAATGTTGGCCTGTCTTACTAGGTTGGGGACGTTCTCCTGAATAATATACTAAAGAGTGCTTTCCAACTTGGTTCCATTCTCCCTGTCACTTTCAGGTACACCAATCAAACATAGGTTTGGTCTTTTCACGTTGTCCCACAATTCTTGGAGGCTTTGTTCACTCCTTTTCATTCTTTTATCTCTAATCTTGTCTTCACACTTTATTTCATTAAGTTGATCTTCAATTTCTGATATCCTTTCTTCTGCTTCATTGATTCAGCTATTGATACTTGTGTATGCTTCACGAAGTTCTCGTGCTGTGTTTTTCAGCTCCATCAGGTCATTTATGTTCTTCTCTACACTGGTTATTCTTGTTAGCAATTCCCCTAACCTTTTCTCAAGGTTCTTGGCTTCCTTGCACTGTGTTAGAACATGCTCCTTTAGCTCGGAGGAGTTTGTTATTACCCACCTTCTGAAGCCTACTTCTGTCAAATCGCCAAACTCATTCTCTGTCCAGTTTTGTTCCTTTGCTGGCGAGGAGTTGTGATCCTCTGCAGGAGAAGAGGCATTCTGGTTTTTGGAATTTTCAGGCTTTTTGTGCTAGTTTTTCCTTATCTTTGTGGATTTATCTACCTTTGGCCTTTGATGTTGGTGACCATTGGATGGGGTTTTGGCATGGACGTCCTTTTGTTGATGTTCATGCCATTGCTTTCTGTTTGTTAATTTTCCTTCCAACAGTCAGGCCCCTCTGTTGCAGGTCTGCTGGAGTTTGCTGGAGGTCCATGCCAGAGCCTGCTTGCCTGGGTATCACCAGCAGAGGCTGCAGAACAGCAAAGATTGC
The DNA here is from genome assembly GCF_000001405.40 of Homo sapiens. Lineage (NCBI taxonomy): Eukaryota > Metazoa > Chordata > Mammalia > Primates > Hominidae > Homo > Homo sapiens. The sequence goes on from NC_000012.12 coordinate 43,387,341, forward strand.
TGCCTTTTCCATCCTCTGGAAGTTTTGTCCCAGAGGGGCACCCATCAGATGCCAGCTGGAGCTCCCCTGTATGAGGTGTCTGTTGACCCCTGCTGGGAGGTGTCTCCCAGTCAGGAGGCACAGAGCTCAGGGATCCACATGAGGAGGCATTCTGTCCCTTAGCAGAGCTCAAATGCTGTGCTGGGAGATCCACTGCTCTCTTCAGAGCCAGCAGGCAGGAACATTTAAGTCTGCTGAAGCTGCGCCCACAGTTGCCCCTTCCCAATTGCTCTGTCTCAGGGAGATGGGAGTTTTATCTATAAGCTCCTGAATGGGGCTGCTATCTTTCTTTCAGAGATACCCTACCCAGAGCAGAGGAATCTAGAGAGGCAGCTTGGCTAGAGCGGCAAAGCTGCAAGCTAGAGTTGTGGAGGGCTCCACCCAATTTGAAAAAATGAATTGTGGTGGGCTCCATCCTATTTGAACTTCCCTGTGGCTTTGTTTACACTGTGAGAGGAAAACTGTCTGTCAAGTCTCAGTAATGGCTGATGCCCCTCCCCCCACCAAGCTCCAGCATCCCAGGTTGACATCAGACTGCCGTGCTGGCAGCAAGAATTTCAAGCCAGTGGATCTTAGCTTGCCGGACTCCATGGGGTGGGATCTGCTGAGCTAGACCATGTGGCTGTCTGGCTTCAGCCCCCTTTCCATGGGAGTGAACAATTCTGTCTTGCTGGCATTCCGGGTGCCACGTACAAAAAAAAAACCTCCCGCAGCTAGCTTGGTGTCTACCCAAACAGCCACCCAGTTTTGCGCTTGAAACCCAGGGCCCTGGTGGTGTAGGCACCTGAAGGAGTCTCCTGGTCGGTGGGTTGCAAAGACCAGGGGAAAAGCATAGTATCCGGGCCAGATAGGACCGTCCCTCAAGGCACAGTCCCTCACGGCTTCCCTTGGCCAGTGGAAGGAGTTTCCTGACCCCTTGTGCTTCCCAGGTGAGGCAACATCCCGTCCTGCCTGCTTCTGTTCACCCTCCGTGGGCTGTACCCACTGTCTAACCAGTGAGATGAACTGGGTACCTCAGTTGGAAATGCAGAAATCACCTGCCTTCTGCATTGGTCTCACTAGAAGCTGCAGACAGGAACTGTTCCTATTTGGCCATCTTGGCTGATTTGTTGATTCATGATTATATTTCAATGGATAGGAGTTTTGGAAAACTGGCTGTGTAAACTGTAAACTTAGACAACTTTGTCCAAGTCTTGTTTTTCTTATGTGTACAATTTTGTGTTACTTGTGAAATGTCACAGAACACTTTCCATACATTTATTCCTGTCAACAGCTCTATAAAAGCGGTACTATGGCTGAGGACACTGGGACTCAGAGAGGTTAAAGTCCCTTGCCTGAGGTGCTGCCTATAGTTAGTGATTGTCTTAGTCTGTTCAGGCTGCTATAACAAAATACCATAAACAGAATGTCTCACACACCAGAAATTTACTTCCCACAATTTTGGAGGCTGGAATTTCAAGATCAAGGTGCTGGCAGATTCTACATCCAGTGAGAGTCCACTTTCTGGTTCCTACAGGGCACCCTCTCACTGTGTTCTCATATGGAGGAAGGGATGAGCTAGCTTTCTGGGGTGTCCTTTATAAGGGACTAGAAAAGGCCCCACCTCCTAATACCATCACCTTGGGGGATAGAACTTCATCATATAAATTTTGAAAGAACACAACCATTCAGATCATCCCATTCTTTCCCTGCCCCACTCCTCAAATTCGTGTCCTTCTCACATGAAAAATATATTCATTCCATCTCAATAATACCAAAGTCTTAGCTCATTCTAGCATCAATTCAAAAGTCTATAAAGTCCAGACTCTCATCTCAGTATCATCTCAATCAGATATGAGTGAGATTCAAGGTATAATTGATTCATCCTGAGGCAAATATCTCTTCAGCTGTGAACCTGTGAAATCAAGAAAGTTATGTGCTTACACAACACAATGGTGGTACAGGCAAGCCATAGGGTAGACATTCTCATTCCAAAAAAGAAAAGTAGAAAAGAAGAAAAGGGTAATAGGACTTGAGTAAGTAAAAAACCCAGCAGAGCCAACAACAGTAAATCTTAAGTCTTGAGAATAATCTTTGATGCAATGTTCCACCTTCTGGACACACTGGGGCAGGGATTGGGTCCTCAGGGCTCTAGGTGGCATTGCCCCATGGCTTTGTTGGATTCAGCCCATGCCACAGTTCTCATGGATTGTAGTTTGGTGCCTATGGCCCTTCCAGACTGAAGTTGCATGCCAGTGGCTATAGTGGTCTGGGGTCATGGGGGCAGCTCTGATGCCATGGCATCAGCTTAGTGGGGACAATTCAGCCAGGTTTTTTTTGTTTTTGTTTTTGTTTTTGTTTTTTTGCCACTTTAGAACAAGGATGGACTTTCCTCCACTGTCCAATAACATGATAACATGTTATGATTTCCATCTGAGACCTCATGGCCTTTACTGTCCATATTTCCATGAACATATCTCTGCCCTTGCAATGGCCCTCTTCCTTGCTCATGTGCCCAAGTCCGTAGGCAGCTCTATCCTTTGAAATTTAGGCGGAAGTTGCCACACAAGCATGACTCATTTACTCTGTGTGTCAGTGGAGATAGTCCCACTTGGACACTGCTAAAGTTTATCACCTGTGAACTCTGGAGGGATGGCCATCATAGCCATTGCTGTACTTGGGACCACTGGAGACACATCTGGGGTAGTTGAGGACTGCTGTGCCAGAATGTGGGAAGCAGAGCCAATAATGTGGGGTGGCACCAAACCATTGCAGCCCTGTTCTGTCCTTAGGCCATTGCACTCTGGGCCTATGCAATCCCTGAGGAGCTTCAGAATGCTGTTGGGAGGCCATCCTTCCATTGTCTTAGACAATATATTATGGCATCTGTTTAGATAGCTGTCTAATCTCCCTGTTGTACTGATAAACAGCTCATAGCTTAGATTGAAATTGCTGATTCAAACTAATCAAACTAATCTCCTTATCAAATTCAGCCACACCTTTTGTATTCTCTCCTGAACTTTCTCATTTTTTCAAATATAAATAGGCTGAGAATTTTCCAAAATGTTAAGTTCTGCTTTCTTTTTTATTAACAACTCCATCTTTGTATCATTTCTCTTTTTAAATTTTTCTATTAGCAGTCAAGAGAAGCCAAGTTGCACCTTCAATACTTTGCTTAGAAATATCCTCAGCCTAACAGCCAATTTCATCACTTATCAGTTCTATCTTCCACAAAACACTGGAACATGAGTACAGTTCTGTCAGGTTTTGTTTTTTTGTTTGTTTTTTGCCACTTTCGAGCAAGCATGGACTTTCCTACACTGTCCAATAACAATTTCTATCTGAGACTTCATGGCCTTTACTGTCCATATTTCTAAGAACATTCTGTTTGCAACTACTTAGGTATTCTCAAAGATTGAGGCTCTCTCTAAAGCTCTCCTCTTCTCTTTATGGGCTTTTACAAGAATAGCCCTTAATGATCCATTCGTGGCACTATAGGCTTTTTCTAGCATGCATTTCAAAGCTCTTCCAGCTGCTAGTCATTACCCAGTTCCAAAACCACTTCTGTATTTTAGATATTTGTTATAGCAGCACCTCATTATCAGTACCAATTTTTTTTTATCTTAGTCTATTAGGGCTGCTATAACAAAATACCATAAACTCATGGCTTATAAACAACAGAAATTTATTTCTCACAGTTCTGGAGGCTGGGAATTTCAAGATCAAGGTGCTGGCGGTGTCAGTGTCTGGTGAGGGCCTACTTTCTGATCTGTAGAAGGGTGCCTTCTCACTGTGTCGTCACATGGGTGAAGGAACAAGCTAGATCTCTGGAGTGTCTTTTATAAGAGAACTAATTCCAACAATGAGTGCTCTACCCTCATGATTTAGTCAGCTCCTAAAGTCCCTACCTCCTAATACCATCACCTCAAGGATTAGGATTTCAACACATGCATATTTTTTTTCAGGTGTAGGGTTGGCAAATATTCAGATCATAGCAGCAGTGAAAAATAGTTGAAGTTCTGTTCTTTTTTACTCCAGACTGAGCTCTTACTGTGTTGCCTCCTGGGGATGAAGGAGGACTTGGCAATCTTTCAACTCTAGGATGTCACATCTTCCAAAATTAAGTAGTAAAGCCATATAATAACAGAGCTTAACTACAAGAGCTGTGATGCCAACGTTAAAAAAGTGTAGAGTATGTCTAAAGATATTTAATTTGTGAGTTTCATTGTTTATATTCCTTGTCATTCCAGTAGGAATTGGAGGTCATAATGAGTAATATTGTTTGGGGATCCATTAGTATTCCCAACTGTAATATTATAAGGGGGAAAAATCAGGTTATTCACCAAGTTCATTATTTCTGCAGGATTCCAGAGTAACTAATTTCCTTTTCACAACAGTAAATATATATCTGCAAAATACAGTTTTACCCTGAAAGAAAAAAATTTAAAGCCCACAAAAGCTAAGAATTTCGTTTACCCAGTAGACTAAAATTCCTCTCATAAACTGTGTCAACATTTTTACTGGAAAAGCACTTTAAAATTTAGTTTTCTCTCTTGTGAGTATAAGCAGCAACCACCAACTTCAAAGAGAATTTTTGTTGTTTTACTTATGAAGTAAAATATAAGGCATATTTAAATGTATAAAATCTTATGCACATCTACATAACTTACACTGACCTTCATGTTATGCTTAAGCAGTTGAATTTTGCCAACTCATTAAATATTTTCAGAAAAAAATATACAGTTTTTTGTGTAGAGAATAATAATTTCATGTGCACTTTGTGTATGGCACAATATTAAATAGACTAAAATGTCTGGATGTAGTTTAACGTAAATGAATCTCTTATGAAAATGTCTAGCCTATAAAATAAAGCTCCTGAAAACATTTTTCACAGCTAATTTCAGAAATATAAACTATATTTGGAAAACATCCTGCCTCTAAGCCTGAAAAAGAATTCCTGGAAAAAAATAGTTTATAAAACACAGTTTAGCAAGAAGTTCTATTAGATAAATATAATTTCCTACAATTCAATAAACCACACTTAATTATTGGTCCTTTGATCCTAGCATGAGTTTTTAAAAATCCACTAAGAGAGCAGCTAGCTACTATATTTTCGATATGAACCTCTTCTCTAAAAAGAAAAAGAAGGGACTACTACTTGGAAGAAAAAAAGTAACTTGTTTTTCAGTTTTTAGGAATAAAAGTACAAAAGCATAAATCAGTATGGTTTTAGATTTTAACATAGACGAATTCATTGCTTAAATTGAATATTCCTTAGCCTGCTGTCATCAATAACCCCAACTGCCAAGTCCAATAGAAAGTTTTCAAATCTTTTCTTAGTTAATCTCCCGAACACATTTGGCACCACTGATCACTTTCTGTTGAATCATTCTGGTTCTGTGATTGAAACTCCTTTAGTTCTAGGGGGTCTCCTCTTACCTCTTGAATTGCTCCTTCTCAGGGTCTTTTACTATTTTCTCTGCATATTCTTTAAATGTCAGCATATCCCAGGGCTCCATTTATAACTGGCTTCTCTTAAAAAGCTCTTTCTGAGCAATTTCTTCTATACATGAGTAATTTCTAAATGTTATCTCCAGCTTTGGTCACAGTTCTGAGTTCTGCATTTACATTTTCATGTATTTATAAGAACCGTTTCATGTATTTACAAGATTTTTATGTGTTTTCTACTTAGATATGTCAAAGGCACCTAAAATGTAACATTTCCATAGCAGAACTCTTTCCCTTTTCCCAAAGCCATTTTCTTCTAAGGTTGTAGATACAGGGAAAACACTATCATCCACTCTTAAGTGGCTTACTAGAATGGCTTCTCAAGGTACATTATAACTCCTTAATATGTATCCATTATTTTAACAGTGTTATAGAACTAATATAAGCATGTCAAATTTCGTTTTTTTAAAAAATCCAGGTAATGAATGTAAAGGCATTGTGAAGCTGTAAGTGCAATTATAACACCACCTAATTGACTGGGATGCACTACTTCTTCATCTATATTACATAACTCAATCCAGACAGTTCATAAATATCCTATTTATGAAAAAATATAACACTGCATACATTAGTGCTTTAAAGACTTGAGAGTGGAAATGGATTAGGTAAATTTTAGCGAATCCACAGGTACTGTAACCATTATAGCTATTGCGGAGCAGAGATAAGGAAATATTAGATTCTGCATTGCAAAAATGGGTTCATCAAGGCTGACTCACTCTGCTATTTAATAAATAATTATTTAAAATGAAAATAGGGAAGTCTTCTCTTTTGAAGCCTTGTTTATAATTTTTTTATTATGGATAAGGTTTTGATTTCATTATAGTCACTTATTTGCAACTATGGTTTATTTCAAGGGAATCAATAATATAGTAGTACCATTAGCAGTAGTATAGTATTTTGAGGTTAAAGAGACTCTAGGAATAAGTAATCCTAATTTCTCTTTCATTATGAAATCTTTCTATAACAATAATGAATGAGTGACCATAAAACCTACCCATACTTAACTTCATTGTGGCTATGTTCACCGTATTGTGAAAGCAGCCATGGCATTTTTTAATCTGCAATATTAGCAAATATTCTCTTATATTGAACTAGAATATTTTTTAAACTTTAATGCATTGTCCAGAATCTGTCTGTCTTTTAAATGTAGAACAAATACATACCTAATTTCATGTGAGAAAGTATGAAGATGTGAGGACTGGAACTGTGGCAGCCATTTTATGACCATTACAAGTTGAACAACAGAATCACAGAAATGCCAATCCAGCACCCTAATGTTGTAGAGCTGCTGAATTAAAATTAAAATCAGAAACACTCTGATTTTGTTATACGAAAAATAAAAGTCTTTGTAGTTTAAATCACTAATAAAATCAGGGCTCTTGCTACTGGCAGCAGAACACTAGACAACTGACAGCATAGTTGCTACCATTTAATTGTTTTTCTCTAGGGATATGGAAAATTGTCAAGATTTTACTTATAATCTGTATTCCAGAATAGGCACCACTTCAAATATCTGATCAGGATATATTAGTGCCCAACACTTTGAACATCATCCTTCTGTTAATGTAACCTAGTATGTTAGTGATTTAAGCAACTCCATCATATTTAATATGTGATCAACTATATCCTCAGTTATTTACCCTTTAACCTGTAAAATCTATATATATAATATTTCACATTTATGCAACAGACATTTTTACATTAAAAACTTGCCATGAATTCAGCACAACTTAGAAATTACATTTCTATTGACTACACTATTACATGCAGTGCAGTGACGGCCTGAAATTGTGAACTTCATGTGTCCTTCTTGGCCAAAGGGGCAATAATTTGCTAAGGAAATATAAGGATGAGCTAATGTATAATGATATTAATGGGATAACGATAACTAGTATAATGGAGAAAGCTCAACTAGACCTCTGTTCAAATCCCTGCCCCCAACATTTCCTGCACTATGACCTACACAAGCTTCTTAACCTTTCTATAAGCTGCTGTTTCTTCATCTGTCTAATGAACGTAATAAAACCTGCATTTGTGGGGAATAAAAACTCTTAATATAGTATCAGGAAGTGACTGTCCCTTGCTGCTCCCTTCTTCTCATTTTTTTACTTTTCTTATGGAGATTCAACCATTTATGCCTTGAAAAGTTTGATAAATGCCCTAAGTTAGAGTGCTAGTCACCTCAGCCTACCCCAAGAAAGGCCATTTTAAATATCAAGAAAGATGATAAAGGAGGAGCATTAACAGATAGCACTGAAATGAAAAATAGAATTTCACTATCTAGAAAAAATTAGGAAGCAAAGTTTAACCAGCGCTGGAAGCAGGAGGGCATCCTCCCTGTCCCTGAACCCTAGTCTACCTTCACCAGTAGAAATGTCACTGAATACCCTGACATTTCAAATGAAGGGATCACAGATTCTTAGGAGCTTTAGGGACTTAAAAAATTAACATTTACTATTTTTCAAATTATAAAACATATATGTATATGTCAGAAATTCTGAAAATATAGAAATAAAGATTTATACTTATGTATTTTTGAAATATAGACAATATGGAATTACAGAAATACAAAATATCTTAAACATCTAGCATTTAGCATACAGTTTCTTTCTTTTCTTTTTTTTCCAAATTAGGGGCTTTGGGTGGGGAGCACTGGGCAGCAGATTTGTGGGATTTTGGAATTTATATCACCTTTGGTCCCAGCTCTGGTCTTAAAATGCAAGTAAGAAAATGATGGGTCTCAAAGAAGGTGTAAGCAGCCAAGAGGCTGATTTGACCTGGTTCTACATTGAATACTGTTGTGTGAGATTCTTTTTTTTTTTTTTTTTTTTTTTGAGAGTTTTAGAATGGATTTACTATATGAGACTGGAGAACACACTATCTGACCATACTTCTTAGGAAGGTCCAAAGAAAACACTTCATTCACCAAGGTAATTAAGAATGCACTGGTGAGGGGACACAGGCTGTCCAGCAGGTTTGCCATGATTAAGGGGAGGTGAGAATTCAGAATATTTTTTTCCTAGAGATTGTGCATTTGGATGGCACTAAAGTAAGTAGATGGGACCTGAGACAATGAAGAATCTAGAACCATACTAGCTTTAAAAACTTGAATTTACAAGTGAAGCTGCTATTCCCAAATAGATAAAATTAAACGAAAAAAAAAATCCCCTCGCTTCCAGGAAGTGGGGGTGGGGTGGGATTATTTTTTCTTTTAAATGATTCAATTATTTAATTTGCATCTAAGGATATACATTTGAACATAGAGGACAAACGGCCCTGTATAGCAATGTTTGTTCCTGTTTAGCAACAGTCATTAAAATGCGTTACTAAATCCTTTCGTTAAAAAAAAAGATACAAATATCAAATGAAGAGTGTTCCTTCAAAACTCATTTAAGCACCTCTGTGGTCAAAATTTACCAAATGAGTCTTTCCATTTGAGGCATCATGTAAAATAGTAATAAAATGAAATTATTTTAAGAGTGAGTGATTATATTAAGGTAATGTTACAATTTATACAATCGGAATAAAGCAACAACCAGTGATTATCTTGTAACTACCTCTGAAATTACGCTTCTGTTTAATACATTATTATATGTAGTGCAATGACAGCTTGCAATTGTTAACTTCGTGTGGGTGCTTTTTATAGAATAAATCAAAAGGCAATGACTTCACAAGTGGTCATTTGTTTCTGGCAGAGATTTGGGGACTGTGTGGGTGAATGCAACTAATTTCTATGACAAGGAAAACTAATTCAAGGAGAAGCAAGCAAATTATATAAAAAAGCATCTATTTTTTATAGTCCTTAAATATTCATATCTGTATTTTTGAAGCCCCAGAAATATGTTCCTTTAGCAGATTTTATATAATTTCATATTTGGTGGTAAGCCAAGGCCAATTTGTTACCACGGATGATGGATTCACTATTGTGGAGCTGGAGGTTCAGAGACAGAAAGTGTCTCTCATGAATACCAACCACAGCAGCTGCAGCAGCTGCACCGCAGCAAAAGAATCTTTGGGACCAACAGGAATATTGGTGGCCAAGACACAAAAAGTCTCTCCCACTTCCACTCCCATGCCCCCGTGGCTCCTGCCTGATGTAGGAACTGGGAGTTAACTGCTGGACAGATCTGTGGCCGTTCATATTCAGTGCCTTTACAATGTTTCACACGCTTAGGGGAAAGCTACTTTGCCATTATCCTGACACACCTCTATCCAGATCAAGTAAGGCAAACCTCCACTTTAAGCAAAACCACAATATTGGAAACATAATAATTTAAGAGATGGTGAGTATTTTTGCAATTAGATCACAGTATTCAAAGTAAGAAGTATTTAGCTTAGATACAAAGCTAGGTGTGGAAACAAAATGTCCATTGTCGCCAAGAGGAAAAGAGATACTGGTCTGAGATAATTCTGAACAAGTGAGCATGGGTTAGGTTTTAGTCTTACTCCCTAAGGATAATGCTTAGTCACAGATGATATTAAGTGACACAAGATGATATTAAGTGACACAAGCATATCTGAGTTCTTCTGAGCTCACACTATGTGAATGTAAATAATGGCCAAAATATATGTAGAGAGGCCATTACAGACTCAGGAACAGATGATGATGAACTATTAAACTAGACCGGGGTGTGTGCAATGGAGATTCAAGAGCTACTTGAAAGAGATGAGAGAACCTGTTGAGTGACTAACTATGGAGGCAAGGAAAAAGGATAAGGATGGATCCAGTATTTCTTTCTTGAACAACTTAGTAGAGAGTAGTGACATTTACAAAATAAAACAAGTTAATAGAGAAATCTTTTAAATCATGACCTCTGGTAAAGCATGAAAAATAATTGATTTATTTGATGAACATTCAATATAGAAGCAAATGCCCAATAATACATCTTTTTTTGTGGGATAAAAAACAGAGATGCATTAGCATCTAGTTTTCAATTAAACATTGACCACAAGCCCCAGCACATTAACACTTGACAGAGGCTGCCTCTTCTACAAAGAAATTTGAGATTTTTACTCAATTTGGAAGGCTTTTATTCAGTATCAGTGAGGCACTGACATAATTCCACTCCAAAGCTGTGTGCCCTGCATTGACATGCTGAGCGCAAAGAGAGAATGATGATGACTTTTGACCCCAGGGGAAACTCCATTTCCTTCTAGCTCCCCAATAGACATAACTCAAACATCTGACAGAGATAAGGAAGTTCCAACATCAGAAGATGGGTGTCTTTTTCCTTTTGCAGGACTAGGCCCTTTAAGAAATAGATAAGCTCTCTGAGGTACTACTGAGAGCAGCCAGATGGCTACATTGAAAGTCTAGACCCATTGAAATTAGTCCTCAGGAAATTATTCCAGTTATCTTTTCTGACTTCATTCATGGCTTTTGTCCTGTCAATATTTCCCAAGCTGGTGGTGTTTGACAGTCATTTTCAAATGCATGCCTACCCGAATTTAAATTTTGATCTCTTTCCTCTGAGTATGCCAAGTGGTATCAATTACCCTTCTTTTACAGGCTAAATTGTCAGCCAGGGTCTCATTTATTTATCAGCTTCATTTTTGCTGAGTCTTTTCATTTTTGGTGAGTCTTTTCATTCTAGCGCAGCCTAGGCTATCTATCTCTGACAACTTCCTAACTCTCAATCTCGGATTACAATCCCATCTGGAATTTACCAGTCCCTTCTCCAGGATTCAATCTTAGCTAAAATCCAAGATTTGGGGGTAGAAACAAGGCAGTTACTAAATGTATCATCATATATATTTTTCTGTTAGCCTGCATAGAATACTATTATGATTATCAGTAGCCTCTGCTAGTATTCAGTAACAAAATTTCTTGTTAAGTTTATAGTCACAAAAATCAAATGACTAGGCTGGGCACAGTGGCTCACGTCTGTAATCCCAGCACTTTGGGAGGATAAGATGGGAGGATTGCTTGAGCCCAGGAGTTTAAGAACAGCTTGGGCAACATAGCAAGAACTGGTCTTAATTTTTTAAAAAATCAAATGACTAATTTATTATTTAACTATAAACTTAGGAAATGTGTTAACACTGTTTAGTATTAATACTAACTTACAGCATAGTGCAAAAAAGTATATAACAATAAATTTTAGAGAAGCAAAACATTCAAGGTTATGAAAAATAAGAATGAATTTTCTTTTTAAATACAAAAAAATACATATATAATTATAAAATATACATCATATACCTCATTCCAGCTATTGGCTTTCCATGAAGGGCATCTGACAGATCTACAGGCTTTGTGAGTTGGAGGTTTCTGTACTTGACTGCAATTTGTGTCTTCTAATTTCCTTTGGAATTGGTCAATGCAAAACACTTCACGGTACTTTCTACCTTTACCACAAGAAGCTGAGCACTAGAAAAGAAATATGAATGCACTTGATTCATTTTCTTCTTGATTAATTTAAGCTTATCTTAAAGAAGTACAAAATGTAACAATCCACACATAATTCCTTTGATATTTTTATGAAGATATGCTCTAGTATTTCTAATTAGTGAAAAGTTAAAAGTTACCAATCTGCTCTGGACCATCAATTAATGTGAATATCATAAGGTAATATGATTACATTTTTATAATTTATTCTACAAAAATGTATTGATTGTCTACAATATACCAGGTACTCTTCTGACACAACAATGCTTCAAATCTTTTAAGGTTAGACTATCCTCAACTAACTCCTTTTATCATCCAATAAAACTTGTATTCAATCTTGTAGCATCAATACCCATTCTATTTTTATCTCCACATGCTTTTCTATACTGTAAAGTATGTTTTCTATGTTAAAAAATTTTAGTAATCTCTCAGTGCAGAAAACTGATTGAGAAAGCAGAAAGTTTATTTTTTTAACAGCATTTCAGTTCAGGTTGTTTTTGGCATCAGTCTGGAAGATGTCTTTCTCTACCATCGGCCTTCTGATTTATTTAGTAAACAAAAAATAACTGAAGTCTTTTTAAAAATATAGGTAAAATAACGATTTGACTTCATTTGTCAGCCAGTTTTCATTTTATGAGTGAGGACAGTGCAATATGGTAGAAAGCACTTGGGCTCTGGCATTGAGTATCACTTCTGCCACTTATAGCTGGGTGACTTTAGGCACATTTCATAACCTGTCCAAGTCTTGATTTTTTTTCATTTATAAAACATGAGTAGTAGCATCAATCTTACAAACTTGTTATGAAGATTAACATAAGATAAAGAATATGAAATGTCTAACCCAGTCCTACTACACTTGGTAGATCCTCAGTAAACATTAGCTTGCTCTTCTACCATTTTCCTTCATATAGTCTCAGAGAGGATATTGACAATTTCAGCATGATATATGTACCAGGGGAAAGCTAAGCAAAGAAGTCATGGAGTTCAGACAACCTTTCTCATTCCTCTGAGACAGTTGTTGGCATATGGTTTCATTTAGAAACACATTATGCATTTTATGCATATTGTGAACTCATAGAATATTAGACTATATGGCCTATTTGATACTCAAATACTTTAAACTTTTAAAAAATGAACAGTCTGGAGAAAATTTACCTTTTTATATTACTAGCAATATGTTGCAATAATGCATTGATTATTAAGAACTATTATCATATCTTAGATGTTCTCGACCTCTCCTCCACCTCATTAATACAGCCATTCCATGCTGCTTAGAGCACACTTGGTTCTGTGAAAATCTCTAATGGATCTTCATATGTTGTATTAAGATACATTCTTTCCTTCTATTGATCTAGACCTACCTATATGCTTTACCGTTCCTGACCATGTTATCTTGGGCACTTACCCTGCCTCTTTCTTTTCTTCATTGTTTATTTTTCAGAGTATAACCTATTCTATACTAAAAAAAAAAATTCAAATATTATTGAGTATCAAGTATATACCATGGAGTGTGCTGACTACTTTGAGTATGTACATGTTCACACATGGAAGAATAATTTTCCCCTAAATAATACTTTTAAATTGTTACTTTTTGAACAAAGGAAGCATTTATTACTCCCTCTGCTAGCCACTTTATTAAAAGGTAATAATTACTGTGAATAGTCATGCAAAGATTCATTAAACAGCATCTCTTGCTTTTGCCCTTGATGTATCCTCCAAGTGCTTATAATCTAAATGATACACATCATCTATGAAGTGAATTATACCAGTGTAGGTCTTAATATTGCACTCAATGAAGATCAGAAAAACAAAAACACTACACGATACCAAATACCATTAAAAGGATACAATAAAAAGTATGATAGAATTTAAAAATTCATGAAATGTAGCCATTTCTTTCTAGGATATTTGTAAGTGTTCAAAGAGAAGATAATATTTAAATTCATTCTTGAAGGAGAGGTAGGTTTGTTGATGGACAAAGATGAATGGTCTTATGTGTATGTTTGATATGACTTATCTAGACATTGTCCAGCTGTGTCTGTTTTGTAAAATTCCCAGAGTTCGTTTAACAATGCCAAGAATCCAAGAATCAGCCAGTAAATATACAGTAAGTTGTTGGCATTTCTGATAAGAATGGCCAATTCATTTACAAAGCTATGTAACATAAGAGGAGACAGGTTAAATTCCAAATTCTAATTAAGAATTCAGCAATACATTTCCTCTATAAGCATTATCTATGAGTGGAATATAAACTCACACATGTAGTACACTGCCAAAGTTAATAATTATTTTTCAAGAAACTGAATAGTCTTCTACTCTATAACTTTAGGTCATCTTTGCTTCTCTCTCTTCTTTGTTACTTTAATCTATTAAACTAATATAACTTATTACTAGTCTAATCCAGACTGTTATTGTCATTGAACATAATTTAAACATAAATCTATTTTTATCAATCTTTATATTTTATAATTTATAAGTATATTTTTATGCTTTTTTTTTTGCTCAAGTGCTAACAATGGCTCTCTTATTGTCTTAATAGCAAACCAAACTTATACTCCTTGCTTTCTTGATCCACCAAATTTTAGTCAACATGCCTTTCCAACTTCATATTTTGCTGCTTTTCACCATGCAAACCTTTGCTCTCTTTAAGTATAATTGCTTTCTCCTTAATGTGACACATTCGCTCAAAAACAGGGCCTAACTCATTATTTTCTTTACCTAGACTAATCACTTCCTCTAATAATTATCCTTAAAGCCCTAATTCAATCCCATGTCTAGGGTAAATACACATCAATCTTTCACTTCCCTGAACTCTTCTGAGTCCTACCCTGTTTTTAGCACTTCATCATTTTCTGCATTTTCAACTTTTGTCACATGCTTCATCTACCCAGCTTCCTGAAGGTCAAGTCCTTTTAGATCACCCATATCACCTACAAAGTGGCATGTGTAATAACTATCAGCTGATGGATGTTTATTAATGGTATAAGCAATTTTTAATTTGCTTTTATTAAACTCTAAAATAATTTACTTAAAAATTTTAAATTCCATGAAATATATTTATTGGTTAAAAAACCAAAAGTCCTCTAGGAATGTTAGAAAAAAATACAAAATCAAAGAATTATAAAATAAATTATGCTTTATACTTTTAAAGTAAAGTTCTTTTTCTCCAAGATCTGAAGAGGGTAAGTACAGATTCTATCCTCAAGATTTAAAAAGGAATACATCCAGTATTTTATCATATCTGATGGAATTCCATCTGGGAATTTCTTTAAAGTAAAACAGGACATGTTATGCAAACAGTTATGTTTTAGTTGGAATGAGGCATCCATAGAGTAAACAACTAGTGAAATGATACCTTCCTTTCAAACCATAATACATTCTAAGTTGTAAGGATTCCACAAAATAGCCCATTTGGTAGGAATATTCAAACATGCAGTTTTTTCTTCTGGTATCCCAGCAATCTGCTGTTTTTTTCCCCTCCATTTTATAACTCTGACACCATCATAGTCTTGAAGTTTTATTTAGTGCTGTATAATTCATTTCTAGCATTCTCATCAAAAGACTTTTTCTCAAAAATCAGCCCTAGTTCCCTTAATTGACATAGTCTTAAACTGTTACTGAGATTTTTTTTTTCCATGACTACTATGGAGCAGTAGATACAGCACACAACCCATTTCAGAAGTAGTGATACTAAATAAACATACAAGTGCCCTGAACTGATAATTCTTATAAATTATGTGCAGACAAATGTCTAAGATAAAACAGGGCATTTGAAACAAATGCAAAATTTGCAAGGCCTGAAAATGTAGTAGATCTTTAGAGTTGTTCTAGTTGGCTGGTACTTTGCCTTCCAGAATGGAGAGCTGAAGTTAATTAGTCCCCTCTAACATGATAACTTTGGAATAAGTATATTTTTATTTTTAGAGAAAAGCTGTACATAATTATAGAATAAGATTACTTCTCATATTTGAGGTGCGGATTTTTTTGTTTATATGTAAGGATACTGCAGAAGAATGAATGTATTGACTTAATTTGTGGGAGTCTTCTTGATTAATTCTGGAAACTTAAATTATTAAACAAAATAAAATAAGGAAATAAAATTCATTTAGTTTCAGTTGTAGGAAATGGAAGCCTTGTTTTTTTTTAGGCTTCCCTAAACTATTATATTGATCTGGCACTGTATCCTTTCTGACAGTAGGGGGAAACATACAGGTACTGGTTAGAATTAATATGTACCCAAACTAGTAATTGTATATCCCTGAAAAGTAACTATTACACTAGTCATGCATAAACTGTGCCCTTTATAGATTTTACAAGCTGGGTAACTATAAAATACCTATTTCATATACATCTCTGGGTAAAGGTAAGATGAAAGGCATTTTTTTTTAAAGAGAGAAATAGCCAAACTAAGAAAACTCTAAAGACATCTGTAATGCTATAGCAAAATGCAAAGTAAAATAAAATCAATAAAGAACTAAAAAGAGTACTGCAGAATATCACATTGATTAGATTCAGGACAAGACTGAAAATGTCTCCCATAAAGCAAATGGAATAGTGAAGATGAGACAGATAGAGAAGAGATGGAGAGTCGACGTATGAATGTTGTTTCCCGGAAAATATTCTGTTCATTCCCAGCTCAAGTCATCATATCATTGCACATGTCATCATATCATTTCCTCCCACCCCAACACGTTCACCCATTTCATCCCCACGTATTTTTCAGTGCTGAGTTTAAATCTCATTTCCTTCTCGAAACTCCCTTCTCTGATGGAGGATGTCTGATGTCCAATTTAGACCAGATTAGGTAGGGTTCTTACAGAATTTTTTTAGCATCCTTTGCTATACTCAGTACACCTGAAAGTGTCTGTTCTATGTCTCTTTTCTTTTCCAGACTATAAAATCTGCTGAGAACAGACATATTGTGGGGACACACACACACACACACACACACACACACACACACACACAAATAGAAAGCACCCAGAATCACTCATTTTTAATTTAGTGTGTCATGACTCATTCTACCTTTCTTTTACAAGGAGGAAATAATACCAACGCACCATGAACCACAGGATCTTGCATCAACTTACTGACCAATGTTTGTCTGAAGTGGTAGATATTCTGCTGGCACCACATGAACTGATTTAGATGGTACATTTCCAACGTAATAGATATTTTACATAGTAATGATCATCCTCAATTTTAGCTATAAAAATCCCTCAGCTGGCTATTTGAAAAAAATATCTGAAGTTTGGTGTATAAAAAATCAAATGAAATTAAAATTAAGAGTAAGCATTATTTATCCACTGGATCTTTTAATTAAGCTTGGCTACAAAAGTAGTAAATATCCATTTCATTTGCTACTACATCATTTCATCTATGGATGAAGATATATATATTTGTTTTTATGTTAATCATCTAAACTTTAGTTAAACTTCTCTAAGAGTATCAAAACTAATATTTAATACACTAAAAATTAGTCTTTGAAACACAATATTAGAAAAAGGCTTTGATATCAACTGTAAGTTTTATGTTAAATATTTTTAGTGACTACTAAGATAAAGTTGATTATTGAGAGGGAGTTTAAAGAAAACCTAGTTTACCTTCATACATGTTTCCTTCATATAAATTATTGTGTTATAATTTAAAATTTTCTAAATCCATACATAGCCTAAATTATTGCCAGCTGAACAAACTTTCAATGAGTGAATTTGGCAATGACTCTTTTGCTGAAGCACAGATTGTTTAGTTATTCCAGGTCAATCAGTAAGAACTAGAAGTATCTTACAACAGTTAAACTACTACTCCTTAAACATGCCTCCACATTTGCAGATAAGGAAAATATTTAAAATTAAATAGAGGCCAGGTGGGGTGGCTCATGCCTGTAGCCCCAGCACTTTGGGAGGCTGAGGCCAGAGGATTGCTTGAACCCAGGAGTTTGAGATCAGCCTGGTAACAAAATGAGACCTCATCTCTACAAAAAAAAAAAAAAAAAAAAAAAAAAAAAAAAATTAGCCAGGCATGGTGATGGTGATGCACATCTGTGGTCCCAGCTACTTGGGAGACTGAGGTGTGATGACTCTTGGAGCCCAGGGGACGGAGGTTGCAGTGAGCCATGATCACCCCACTGCACTGCAGCCTGGGCAACAGAAGAAGACGTCTTCTCTAATAATAATAATAATAATAATAATAATAATAATAATAATAATAAATTAAATATTTCAAAATTTGATAATATAATTGTAAACATTTCATATGCTTTTTCAAAAACCATTTTGGGAATGGTTAAAAATTATGAAACTTAATTTTTCAGCTACCATAAATAACCTAACTAGACATAAACTTCATAATTATCATTTTTCTCCCTCAACCATTTTATTTTAGTCCTCTATTGTTGTTATTAAACAAAAAATGACGACAAGAAAATACAAAACTGAGTAAAAATAAATGAGGTGATATTATTCAATTTCACTTTGGCTTTTGAAGTTTTCTGATTGTTTTTCAAAACATAATAATTTAGAAGTCATCAAATGATCAGACAAAAACAAATTTTTACTTTATTACTAGATATGTCACTTCTCTTTGTCTGCTTTCTGACAGCAAGGTGCATAAGTCATCGTTGAAAATGTAAGCACTTATAACCATATGGCTGGGTATTATGTCTATCCTATTGCTCATTGTATGCCAGGTATTAGCTAATTTCTGCAGACAACCAAAGAAAACATGCTGAGGGTTCATGCAACCTTTTCGTTTAAGTAAAGGTAAACTTAAGGAAACACACATATTATACATTACAAATTCAAATCCAGCTTCTCATTACAAACCAGAAATCATTTCCATCAAGATAAGTGCAACTTCATAAGATGTATCATGCAATACATAAAATAGAGTGGTTTTTCTTTAAACATCCACATATTATAATAGCTAAAGATAATCAGATGTTGGAGTGTCTCTCTTGGAACAATTTGAGAGGATTAGTTGTGTTTTCTTTAGTCTTTGGCAATTCCAAATGTATCAGTGAACTTTTCAACATTAGAGTATGTATTATTTATCCTGTTTTTATCTCTTTTCAAAATTAAACTATTTTATGCATCTGCAGCAAAGTTAAATTAAAAATTTTTAATAAAAAACATATTATAGCTATTTTGCTAAATAATTCTTTAAATGATGTTTGAGTGATTATATTAAATGTCTTTAGAACACTATTATGAAATAAAAGATTAGTGTATGAAACAACATATTAAATCAGGAAATGACAGAATTTCAAGTCAAAACAGACCAGAAATTAGATATTCTGAGAAACAAAACACTATCATGTGTATGCATCCCTGTATATGTCTTTCATTTTTTTAGAAGCCTATAATAACATTCTCTAAATAAAACAAAGAGGCTATATCTAAACCCCAATAGTTCTGAAATCTTCCAGAAGCCAATGATACTTGGAGATCTAAGAGAAAAGCCCACTACAGTAAAATCTTAGATATGAGTTTATACAACTACTTTGTAATTGAGGGAATTACCTAGAATGAAGAAACCTTTTTTAAACTGAGCGTCTCAATTATTAGCAAAGTAAAACATTAAAGTAGCTATAATAGAGTAGTAGGATATATTTCTGCTTAAAACAAAAAAAATGACAAAATATGCATATTAAGACTAGAGTGTCAACTCTAAAATAGTACTGCTACTGTTCCTTTAATTCAATACACATGTGCTCTAAGGAGTAAGACACTAAATCCATCAACAGGGACCCCATTCATAGTGCTTCCTGAAAGATAATACTTACAGTTTTAAAGTTTAATGGAGTTTGAAAATGTCCTTTTTAACTTGTTACAGGCATTCTTTGACTATTCAGCTCTAATAAGCCAAGAAAGCATTTGGTTTTAAAAATATTTACCACTGAAATATTTCATTCAATTGCATTGCATCTAATCATATTTAAAATTTGTAGCTCCAGACATTTAAAAATTTAAAAATCAGATTAATTTGCAAATATATTTGACTCTCAACTTAAAGGAAAAAACCAAATGATTAACAACAAATATATCCAGCAGACTTCGATTAAATTAATATCATTGTAATAATAATATATAATTTTATATTATTTTGAGCATATATGTACATGTATGTACACTCATAATGGATTTACAGTTCTTGGCTAATTCATGCAATATGAGAGAACTTACATGTAATTCATCTAACTCAATTGGAAGTAATATTTAAAGATAATTTACTATAATTATTAATATTTTCTATATTATAACTTTGGAAAAGTTTTGTGATTATTTTCACTTTCAAATATAAAACCTGAGGGAAAGCTGCAGTAACTTATGCAAGTATCTTGTACAGAAATATTCACTTATCTCATTTTATAATATTATTTTCCACAAATAACTATTAGAAAATCGGAACAAGAAATCATCCTAGTGAGTGAGAATTAAAGGACTCAATTATTGGATTAATTTTCTTCAATAATAAGTTTTGATAAAGAATCATTTCAAACCTGCAAACATTAGTTATTGAACTTGAGTTTATTTTGGTAGAAGCAATAGTAAATGTAAGTCTAACTCAAGATGTGAGCACTATTTGTAGCAAAAAATACTCAAGAAAAACTGCCATTCATTTAAAGCTTGTAATTTATATTTTTAACTTTCTAATAATATTCTTTGTATGTACTACAAAGGGGAAATGAACATTTCAGACTCCTCTATAAAATCTGTTTAGCAAGTGAAACTCATCTAAAGAGTTCCTGTTTGGAGTTTTTATTGACTCATCCAGTAACATGAACCTTTACAAGTATAGGGTGACATGGAGAAAAATGGTATGGTTAATATGAGAACAATGCAAATCTTGTCTATTTTTAACAATTTCTTTGGGGCCATTATTGTGAATTTACTTTTTCTTAATGTTTTTACACAAATCAAATGAAACACTGCTTTTGAAAGAATGTGTGCCACATTCCATTATAAAAACTCCACTCCCATCTTACCCCTGAGAGCCTACACCCAGAAGCATGACCGTCTGCCTTCCTGGACTGACAAATGCAGAAAACTATTCAGTGTGAGTAGACCATAAAAAGCTAAAGAGATTAGAAAAATATCTAAAGCATACCTTTTTACAAAAATATTGTCTTTTAAGGCATTACTATGGTAACATTTACAAAATTCTTAAAATCAAGTGCCAACAAAATAGCAGGATTTACCATTTCAAGTTCCCACAAATGTTTTATGTGCTAGCTGTGGGAGTTAACAGCCATAAAGCCAAGAACTATGCTTTTAAGTAGGGTTATAAAGGCCTAAAAAGGAATATGCACAGAGTACTCTGAGATGAGAAATAAATGAGTTCTAAGGATGCTTTGAAAAGAGAAATGTCAGAGTTGAGATTAAAAGACCATACCCACTGCACATATTAATGTCTGTTTTCCATATGTAAAAAAAGCTGAGGGGAGAATGTTTTAGAGATTAATTTCATATTTCAATGAATTTAAGTTAATTTCTAAGATTTTGCCTTTAATTACACAAAATTAACTATTTGTATCAATATTTAAGTTGGGGTTTCATCATTTTCACTAGTGGAGAGTAGTAGATGGAATACTAATCTAGCAGTACATGGGATTTGGTGTCAGAGGCCTACAATTGAATCTCAGCTGTCAGAAGCTATGATAATAATAACACTTACATCTCAAGGTGGTTGTGAGATTAAATTAGATAATGTATGAAGAAACCTGAAATAGTGCTTGACACAATAACCTAAAAGCATACTAACCTGTATTCCTTTTTTTTACTTCCTTTCTCAAATCCTGAGTGTGTTTTTATCAAGAGAAAATAAAGAGAAACTATCCCCTGAAAATAAAAATACTGTAGTTATGAGAGAAATGTAGATCCTATATGGACAAAACAAAAATAGAATACTATGACACTAAAACAATAAGAATGCAAGACAAACCTTTTGATAATTAAAAAATATAACTAAAATAAAGAATTCAATATATAGTTTAAATATTGATAAAGTTTCCCATCAAGTAAAATCAAAAGACAGAAGTAGAAATAGGAAGATAAAAACAAGAAAATTAGGCCAGGCGCGGTGGCTCACGCCTGTAATCACAGCACTTTGGGAGGCCGAGACGGGCGGATCACGAGGTCAGGAGATCGAGACCATCCCGGCTAAAACGGTGAAACCTCGTCTCTACTAAAAATACAAAAAATTAGCCGGGCGTAGTGGCGGGCGCCTGTAGTCCCAGCTACTTGGGAGGCTGAGGCAGGAGAATGGCGTGAACCCGGGAGGCGGAGCTTGCAGTGAGCCGAGATCCCGCCACTGCACTCCAGCCTGGGCGACAGAGCGAGACTCCGTCTCAAAAAAAAAAAAAAAAAAAAAAAAAAAAACAAGAAAATTAGAAGACCAATCCAAGAATCCCAATATTTAACCAGAAAGAGTTTTTTAAAAAATGGTTGCATAGCAATTATCAAAGTGTAATACAACAAATTTTCCCAACACAAATCTTTTTAATGAAAGAGCCTACAGAAAGAATGTATAGCAAAGTAAATTTTAAGCACATTCGTTAACACTAAGTCACTTCACCAGAAACTGTAAGAATGACAGGAATAAACAGAAAGAAAATACCAAAAGCTTCAGTGGAACAGGCATGGAAACAAGGGCACATTCAATAGGGAAGGAATCAGAATGCATTTGGACTTCTCAATAATAGCTCAGAATGCTAAAGTAAAATAGGCAATGCCTTAAAAATTTTGAGGGAAATTATCTTCAAGCTAGAATTTTATAGCTAGTCAATTATTCCAATATAAGGATTGACTAAAGTCAGTTCCAGGTTTGCACAGAAGGAAAATTGCACCTCTCGTTTTTTTTCATTTTTAAGGAAGGTACAGGCAGGAAGAAGTGTTTTAGTATGAGAGGGTAAACCAAAAAAAGAGAAACATATGTGATGTAAGAAAAAGTTATCAAAACCAAAACACAGGATGAGAGACTGGTACAGCAGGGTTAAGGTCATCTGTGCCAGATCAGAGGAGGCAGACTGGGGTTGGAGGGGTCTCTGGAAGGAGTCCAAAACAGAGGAAATATCTGAGCATTTAGAAAAACCATTCATGGAGATTTTACATAGCTGTTCAAGCCCTTAAGGAAAAAAACAGTGATTAAAACATAACGAAACTAAGCAAATTTTAAAACAAGGCAATCCTCCCTAGGAAAAATGAAGAGTTGTGTAAGAAAGGAGCAACATTTCAAAGTACAGTACACTACTTGGTTCCACACTGACATTACAGCACTGCTGACTTAATCAAAATTGATTTGGAATTAATTTGGAATTCTCAACCTCTATAAAAGGGAGTCAATAGGTAAATTTGTTTGGATATATCCAGAAACAGCTGAATAAGCCTATTATTTGGCAATATGGAGGGTAAATATCAAAAGATATAGATGAAAGGATTAGAGATTACTTCTAGGGGAGGAAAGACTTGGATTTCTGGAAAGCAGAAGGCAGAGAGAAACAACTGTCTTCAAATATTTGCCCTATAGAGGAGGAATTTGATTGATTCTTACTTCAGAGTGCAGAATGAGAATTGGAAGCAAATGTTTACTTAGTTTTCCTAAAAAGAAATGGGCTATATTGTATTATGTATGGCCTCCAACTTTAGGAAGTTTCACTAGGACACAATTGAAGCTTTATGCACTTCAATTGAAAATTGTCTTCAAAGAATTTATGTTTTGTGTAGATAAGAAGGGATAAGAAAGAGAAAACTGCAATTTTAAAGATATGATAAAAAGAGAGGGAAAAACATATCTTAAAAATATTTCAAGAATCACAATAATTTAACTCTTTAGATATATACAGTATTTATGAACTAATGAAAACATATTGCATTATTGTTGTTTACTCAGATGAGAAAAATGCAAATTCTACCTGAATTATGGGGCATCCTTTGACAGAAAGGGATTCTGCTATCCTTTAGTCTTCAAAATTATCAAATAAGTGTCAAAGTTTTATATTGCCTCTTTTACTATGACATCAGGTGTCTAAATGAAACCTTTAAGTTTTCCCCAGACTTTTAAATTTTACCTTTTGATAAAATTGGTTTTCAAAAAGCATCTGTTGTTTGTTTGTTTGTTTGTTTGTTTGTTTTTTCAGACAAAGTTTCGCTCTTGTTGCCCAGGCTGGAGTTCAATGGCACGATCTCGGCTCACTGCAACGTGTGCCTCCCGAGTTCAAGCGATTCTCCTGCCTCAGCCTCCCAAGTAGCTGGGATTACAGGCGCCCACCACCACGCCCAGATAATTTTTGTATATTTAGTAGAGATAGGGTTTCACTATGTTGACCAGGCTGGTCTTGAACTTCTGACCTCAGGTGATCCACCCACCTCAGCCTCCCAAAGTGCTGGGATTACAGGCATGAGTCACCACGCCTGGCTCAGCATCTGCTTTTTAATACCATAAGCTAAACATCTTTCCAAGTAATGTCTCTTTTAAAAACTTTTCTAGAATTTTTCTAAGCATCAAAAATAAATAAAAATATAAAGAAACATTTCCTCAATCTGTAAGAAACTGAGTTTTATCCATCATAGTTTTCTCCACATTTTGACTTTAAAAATAACTATGTAAAATTTTCAGAGCCTCAGAGTGACACAGAAAACTTTAGAGAGAACATTTAATAAAATACAAAGAAATCTCTTAAGGTACCTCCTCAATGTATACCATAATATTAAATCACCTACTTTACCATATATGAAAAAATGGAATACCTTATTAACACACTAGAAATTTGAATAAAATGATGAAATTATAAATGAGAATGCTAAACTCAATAACGGCAGAAACCAGTTCCATAAATGTTTACTGAATAAAGAAATGAACCGATGCTATGTAGGAAAAAACCACAGGAGCAAACTTGTATATACAGAGTTAATCAGGCTTACATATGCTTTCTGTATTTCTTCTCAAATTATTTTTATACTTTTTTTACATTACAAAGCTTCAAATTGTCTAACATTTTTGCTCCAGAAATGTAAGATCTGATATACTATCCTACACTTACTCTTCAGTAGAGAGAAAATTCAGTTGCTTGAGCATTTTTATTTAAAGGGTGAAGTTTTACAAAGTTGCAATGTATATGCACAACAAAGACCTTTTAAATATGCAATCTACTTTATCTGAATGGCGCAGAGTTGAATGATCTTTAGTCCCACAAAAATAACCTTGAAAGGAAAGCTACATGTAATAGATCTCTTTTTCAAGATTTCTGTTGTTTTGTTCTGACTCTAACGGGTATCCTGTAGATCAGCAGAGACAAGAAAGTTCTCCTGATTTCACCTAAGATTGACACCTTGCCAATTTTAGACGAGAAATGCTGACAAGGAGACAGGATCCCATTTGAGCCACTATCCGTGAGCCAGCTCCCTGTCACAGAAGAAATGTCCATGAGTGAGGGAGGCATCATGTCTGATTATCTTCCCTATTTCTAGATGTGAAAATTCTCCTAAGGCCCACGAATAAACAATAAAGAGGTTGCCCTTAGATAGATTCTCTAGTTAGCAGAATAGGAAATAATTTTTTTTTTTTTTTTTTTTTTTTTTTGAGACAGAGTCTGGCTCTGTCGCCCAGGCTGGAGTTCAGTGGTGCCACCTCACTCACTGCAAGCTCCACCTCCCAGGTTCAAGCCATTCTCCTGCCGCAGCCTCCCAAACAGCTGGGACTACAGGCACGCACCACTACCCCCAGCTAACTTTTTGTATTTTAGTAGAGATGGGGTTTCACCATGTTGGCCAAGAAGGTCTCGATCTTCTGACCTCGTGATCTGCCCGCCTTGGCCTCCCAAAGTGCCGGGATTACAGGCATGAGCCACCGTGCCTGGCCGGTAATAATTTTTTTATTAGTGTATCAGTATAAATTTTCTTTTATTCTTACCTTCTCCTAAAAAGAACAGTCACATCATTTACACATTATCATTTACACATGATCATTCACACATTTTAATTATCACACTATATTTAATGACATCCCAAACAGAATGATTAATCATTAATGATACAAAATGTCTTCTGATTTTTTCTATCAACTATTATAGGGTTTGTGTATGATGGGCAAAATCTACTATAATAGAAGACATGAACTTTCCTAAATTTTTCAATGTTTACACCTTGAAAAAAGTTACAGGAAAGAAATAGAAATGGTTCTACTGTGAGCAAGTCTTTTTCTGACAATTTTAATGATTATAAGAAAGTAGATCTTGCTTTGGTATTTTAGGTATGTTGTTACTCATATTTCAGAGATATTTTAATTTAGAGTAATTCTTACTATTAATAAGTATCACCTTAAAAGAAATATTTGTCTCAAAATAATGTGACAATCATGTTTAAGTATTTCAATAATCTATACTTAATGATTAAACATATCAAATTGATTTTATAAAACTATTTTTTCCTGCAAATTTAATTTCATTGCAAGTTTCTACTGATTTTGAATGGATTCTAACTTCCAGAGGTAGAATTCTTTACCAAACATCAAACTGATATTTAAAACACCTGAATAAGCTAACAATAATGAAACTTGATTGATTGAGAAGAAAATTCATTTCTTCCCTTTTCAGTCCTTCAGGAATCTTTCCCATCCCATATCCCACCACACTCCTAAACACTTTCCTCTGCACTCATAAGATTGTGTGTGCAGAACTAACCACATGTATATTCTTTCGTTTTAACATTTTTTAACCTCCTGTAATAAAAACTCTCTTATGTCCTGATCTAATTGTATTTTTATCCTCCATATCTATTGGTGTCTAACACACAGTAACTTCTAGGTAAATATCTACTGAATAAATAAACTTAATAGAAATTCATAAAGATTATAAATTAGGGATTTAACATTTTTTAAAAGGAGAAATAGTGCAGGGAGACTAATCTTTCTTCTCTTAAGTAAACCAGCAGAGTAAAGTAGCAAGTTTTCTCTCCTAAAAAGTTTGCCTTTCAAATAATTTTAAAATAAATCTTTGCTACACACACAAGCCATCCATTCTCTAAACAGAACAGTTTGCTGTTCTCTCCATATTTGTTCACTTTAATCCTCTCAGAATCTCCCATCTATCTACTTAATGCAAAGAAATAGAAACTCGTTTACTGTTGCTACTTCTCAGTAGCTATTCCTGGGATTGGATGACCATAAAAGACTGAAATGAAAAGGTGATACATCCTTCAATACATATATTTAACAGGGTACTTATATCCAGAACAAAAAAATAGCTCCCATATATCAGTAAGATAATGCAGAAAATCCAGTAGAAAAGTGGACAAAAGACTTCCATAGGTGCTTCAGAAAAATATGATATCCCCTGGGAATAAACAATTTAGCCATCAGAGAAATGCAAACTACAACCACAAAGAAATACCACGACACACTCACTAGAATTGCTAAAATTTAAGAGTCTGATAATATCAAGTGTTGACAAGGATTTGGGGCAACTGGAATTCTCATACAGCCACTTTAGAAAACTGTCATATAGTATGTACTAAAACTAAACTAGTTTACACTAGTTTATACTAGATACACTAAGATCCTGCAATTCAACTCCTGGCTACCTAACCAACAGATATGGATATACATGTTCACCGAAAGACATGTCTGAGAAATGCTCATCACAGCATTGTTTGTAGGTCCCACATTAAAAACAATCCCAAATGTTTGTCAACTGAAGGATAAATATTAATACAAATCATATTAATTCATCTATTCATAGAAGTCATACAAGTTATATACAAGTCATAGAAGTTATATGTTTATACAATACAGTACTAGGATTGCAATGGGAAACTACAATTACACGCAACGTAAATGAGTCTCAAGTACAGTATCCTAACTGTCACAAATTTTCTAAGTTCCATTCAAAAAAGTTCAAAGGCAGGCAAATGAATCTATTATGTTTGATGTCAGAAAAGGGTTACCTTTTGGGAAGATAGTAACTGCAAGGCGGGATGTGGGGGAATTTCTGTGGTGCTGATGTTATTGGTTTGAGCATTGTCTACATAGGCGTGTTCACTTTGGAAAATTCATTGAACTGGACCATTATGATTTGAAGTTTTGCTGGATGTCTTATTTCCATAAAAGTTTGCTTAAAAAAAAAGCAACTCCAGTCCAAATTGATGTCTCTCTTATACTAGAGTACAACTTTCTCAAGTAGACTTGTTTCAGATTGTTTGAAATATTATTAGCCTTTTCTACTATATTTGGATTTCTAACTCGAGGAAAAATAATATATACTTACTGGATAAGTGATAACAATAAGCAAAATATATTGAGCCTTTATGTCACAGGCCCTATTTCAACCACTTTTCCTATTCCATTTTATCCTTAAAAAATACCCTCCTTAGTGAGCTACTATTTTCATTCTAAGAAAATGAAATGTTAGAAATGCTAAGTAACTTGGCAAAGGTCACTGAATAAAACAGGAGTCAAACTGAGGCATTCTAATACCACAGCTCTTATTCTTACCTACAAGATCTAGGATAGACTTAATATTTAATATTTCAAGGCTTAGGAATAATATGTCTTCAAACTCTTGGTAAATGAAAGTTCACATTTCTTTTGGTAAAGTCAAGATTATATTCTCTTACATGAGACTATCTAATACAAAATCTTGTTATGCATCATCAGATGGGCCCTTCACACTGCAATGTGTAATCCTAGTGCTCTCAGATTGACTTTTTCACTCACTGCCCAAACTTTTACTCTCCTCAAGTCCAAACTTCCCTGATCTCAAAATTACCCATCACAGCTTTTCTCAACTTTATTCTGTTCAGATGTTGTCTTATACCTCTTTTACTCCCACCTTCAGATGCCACCCCACCCTTGGGTCAAAAACAGCCCCATCAATCACTCCTCCACTGGCTTATTCTACTCTACCTACAGACACTTGAGTGCTCTGGGTGAGTAATCCACAAACATCTGATGACTAGCTGCACGAATGGCCCCTAAATCATCCTCGGCTTTTGGAACATTCCCTCCTTGACTTTTCGTCTCTAGTCTGTCACTTTTCAGTTTACTGATATTTTATGATGAGAATTGTCCACTAATCTTCTCAAGACACAGTTTTGACACCCAGTCCAAAAAAAAAAATCAAGTTTTTCTATACCTATAGAATTTTTAAAATTTCTTAGGCATGATCCTCATTGGTCTTCTTGACATGGCCTTAATTCATATTTCTAACTTTATGCCCACCCCTTGTTCTCACAAACTAGTTTCACAAACTGGCTTGTCATTACAAACAAGTCAAACTGACCTTTTTTTTTTTTTTTTTGAGACGGAGTCTCACTCTGTCGCCCAGGCTGGAGTGCAGTGGAGCAACCTCGGCTCACTGCAAGCTCCGCCTCCCAGGTTCACACCATTCTCCCTCAGCCTCCCGAGTAGCTGGGACTACAGGCGCCCGCCACCACGCCCGGCTAATTTTTTTGGTATTTTTAGTAGAGACGGGGTTTCACCGTGTTAGCCAGGATGGTCTCGATCTCCTGACCTCGTGATCCGACCGCCTCGGCCTCCCAAAGTGCTGGGATTACAGGCGTGAGCCACCGCGCCCGGCCAAACTGAACTACTTTTTTCTGGTCTCTATGGTTTTGCTATAGGTGGTCTCCTACCTGGTACCTCTTTTCCCAATCAAAATCCTATCTACCCATCAATCCTTAGACATATACCTTCTCCCCCATAAATCCTTTCATGTTTCTCCAATTAGATGCATATTTTCTGACTTCCTATGACATCCTTTTCTGGCTTGTTATAGTTATTTGCATGTATATTTAATTTTTCCTAGACTGTGAGTCCTTTGAGGAGAGTATGCCATTCTTATTTATCTTGTTTCCCACAATTCTTAACCCAGTGCCTGGTAGATATGGGATCTCAATAATCTTGAGTGGAATGGTAACATGCAATTCTGGCAGTGCAGTGGCCATGATTCCCTTCATAACTACTTCTAAGACCTCTGGGTTTCCCTGAGTCACAGCTGCAAAATATCAAAAGCTGTCTAATAGGATCACTTTTCAGTTCAGTTAACTGACACAGAAGGATTTACTATGTGACCTAATAACTGAACTATCAAAAACTTTGCAATATTTCATTTAATTCTTACAAGTAGATGTATAACATATAATAATGTATAAGAGTTTTAATACATAAAAGGCCATGTTACAACATAATGTGATAACAAAGTACCTTCCTGGATATGTCCTACCACTGGTTAGGAATTGGGTAAATTAGTGTATGAGCTTAAGTACAATCTAGGGGGTGAGGATTACAACCAGGAAGCGGTCAATGGTGGCTATAAAAACAAATTACGTAATTCCAATACTGACTCCAATTTATAAGGTTTGAGAGATCTTATTGAACATATATTCCTCATAAGTATCAGAGTTTCTAAGTCACAGTCTTTCAAAAGGATATATTGCTCAGAGGTGGCAAGGGTGATTCACTGGAGTGCCCAAAACATTATTTTTTAGGACATATACTCATATTTGTTTTATCTAACACTCCAGGAAAATAAGCAAGATTTACTACATGGGGCTATATGTCAGTCTGACATACAACATTTATAACTCATTAGATTTCCTGACAGAAGAAGGAGACCATCACTCTGTCATCCACTTTCAGTGTACTCACTGCAGCTCATACATGCACACTGAGGAAGATATATGAACTCTATCATACGTATAACTCAAAATCATCTGTAGTGAGATGAGGAGTGCCAGGAGGAACTGCAACTACAACTGCTGCTGCTGCTGCTGGTGGTTGGTTTATGTTTTAGTTTTAAGCACACAGACTTTTGCTGGTTAAGTTTAAAATCATAATGATGAATGGGCTCATAAAGATGAATTACCAATTTTTATATTACCAAAAAGAGGCTTGTTCCAAATTTGCTGAATTTTTTTCTATGAGAAAAATGTGATACCTAATATCTAGTCTTTAAGGTGAAGAAAACATTTAGCAGTAGTTGAGAAAGCAACTACTTTTAGAAACTCCTACTCAGGAGAGAACATTTTGAAATGTTTGGAAACGTTTCTCCTGCTAGGTGATTTTGCCCAGGGCATTTGTTTTTTTGAGACGGAGCCTCATTATGTCGCCAGGCTGGAGTGCAATGGCGCTATCTTGGCTCACTGCAACCTCCGCCTCCCAGGTTCAAGCGATTCTCCTGCCTCAGCCTCCTGAGTAGCTGGGATTACAGGCACGCGCCACCACGCCCAGCTAATTTTTGTATTTTTAGTAGAGGCAGGGTTTCACCATGTTGGCCAGGATGGTCTCAATCTTACTGACCTCGTGATCTGCCTGCCCCGGCCTCCCAAAGTGCTGGGATTACAGGCATGAGCCACTGCACCCAGGCTCGCCAAGGGCATATTTTTAAAACTTTGAAGCAAACATTTCAGAAACGATATGCCAATTGTATATTTCTAAAATGTTGAAACAAAAATTTCTAATCTGTTTAAATGGCTTCCGAATATTTCAAAGTTTCACTGAGTTTTAAAGCTTCTTGTTAAAATATTGAACTACAGCTTCTTTTAGTAGTACTTCAAGAACTGAATAACCTGGAAAATAGAAATTTGTGAAGCAAATTTCAATCTTTTTCCAATAATTATTTATACTGGATTTGAAGTCAATTACTGGTATATATCAGGAGCATTCAGTGACAAACCTTGTTATTTGGAGGTATTTTGTGAGGTATATTTTTCAGCTAAAGAAGTTATTGAAACCACATATTGAAATAAACCATATTTTAAAACTGCTATAGCACAATGTTGAAACAAAATGTTCAAAACTAACGAGTCTACTACTTTTAAAAAAATTAAATGGTTAGAACAGTTGTGAGAGAAAAGTTACCATTCACAAAATAAAAATTATATTTAACATTAATTATTCAACTTACCCTTTTAAATTTACACTTGTATATCTTCTATAAATCACATAATCATATGTTAGTTTATGTGTGCAATGTATGACTATATAATACATATATATGGGCACATTCTCAAAATGTTCTACTGAGAATGATACGTATGATCAAAAAATTAAAAATCAAATGACTTAAAAATGTTTATTCCTAACAAGGAATAAACATAAAAACGTTAATGTCTGAGTGATGTGATAATGTAGAAATTAAAGTATGATTTTCTCAAACTATTGGAAGGTAACACACAAAGTTTCTATAACAAAAATTTGGGATATCTAAATGTACTAATATTAAGAATGCTTATATATCTTCTATAAACAGCCTCAATATACAGCACATAGATATTGTAGAACACTGACAACAATTTCTTGAGATGCTTAAACATTCCTAAAGCATTATGCCTGAAAAATAGGAGAACTGCCATGGAAACATGGACACTTTCACTTTCTTTAACATGGAAACATATAGAAAAAAACATGGCCTATAACCATTTCATATTGAGAGTTTTTAGGGTTATTTTATACTGTACATTCCAACTTCACTCAACATTATAACACACACACACAAACACACACACACACACACAGTCTCCTCTTTTATGATCTCACCAATAATTAGAGTATCCACTTAAATTTTTCCCAGGTCATACATTTCAAATCTGCAGGGCCCAATTTTGTCTTCAAAATTATTTTCTGAACATCATATCTAGGACAAACTATACATCCATCTACATTCTCTTCTTTGGTGACATATGAAATCCACATGTGCAGAAAAGGTAGATGCTGCAATTATGCAAAATATTATTCTTTTATGGTAGGGAATTAGGACACTGCTTATCTCTTGCCAGGTTATGACAGAATAGCCTACTAGTTTAGGCTTTGTAGAAGGAACAATTGCCGAATTATTTTACTGTTAAATACAATCTTCATTACTAATTCTTGGATTATCTCAACCTAGTAAGCCCCAAATATTATGGGTCTTCAGTATGATAAATCACATGGTTGTTACTGAAATGTGTTAGGAATCTCACCCGGCATTCTGGCCACCTGTTTATTAATTACATTCATTGCTAAACTGCAAACACCTTGTCCACAGTGCCTGGTTTATTTTTAGTGACCATTACGATGTCTAATATGTAGTAGATACTCATACTTTTGGGGAGAATCAATGAATGTACTTTAGAAAGATACAGTAGAAAACATAATAAATGGAAAAATACTAGTTAAATACTTAATTGTTATGAGAAGTGTATTATAAAATTTATTTTTAAAATATATTTCTAACCTGTTTACTATACTTATGTGTCTTTTTCAAATTTAAGAAAACAATTACTATGTTTTCACTGAACACTCCACTTTACAAAGTCAACATAAAGAAGTGGCAGTTTCTTGAAACTATTTGCCTACACATTGCCTGGCTCCTGCTGGCCTTAGGAGCAACAGAGGCAGTTTCTTCCTGAGTGCATTTCTCTTAAATGGGAGCTACAGGGGGAGGCAGAGCCCAACACCCTTTGCTCAGACCCTTAGTGCTCTTTTCAAATGGACAAATGTCAGATTTACCGGTGTTTGCTGCTACTACATGCTCATTTCTTCTTCTTCCTCTTCTTCTTCTTCTCCTCCTCCTCCTTCTTTTTTTTTTTTTTTTTTTTTTTTTGAGATGGGGTCTCGGTCTGTCACGCAGGCTGGAATGCAGTGGCACCATCTCGGCTCATTGCAACTTCCACCTCCCAGGTTCAAGCGATTCTTCTGCCTCAGCCTCCAGAGTAGCTGGGATTACAGGCGCATGCCACCACGCCCAGGTAATTTTTGTATTTTTAGTAGAGACGGGGGTTTCACCATGTTGGCCAGGCTGGTCTCGAACTCCTGGCCTCAAGTGATCCAGCCGCCTCAGCCTCCCAAAGTGCTGGGATTACAGGCATGAGCCACTATGCCCGGCTTACATGATCATTTCTGACAGTGCTTCTATTTGTTGCATTCCATTATATCATATAATAGATTTAGTACAGTATATATTTTTTTCTGCACAATGTTTCAGAAGGACATTTTTTTTAAGAAGAAACACAAAGTGAATGCGCCAGAATTTAGGGTTCAAGTAGCAAGCTTTCATTTACAAAAAAAAAAAAAAAACTTTCTCTTTTTTTGTGTGAGGAAAAACAATCTTTAAGGCAAAAAGGAAAAAAATATATATTCTCTTCCCTACTGTTGGATAGTCATCATTCCCAAAGCACACTGAATACACACTATTTGTTTACCAAATATGATTTCATTCTATGTGAGGAATAAAAACATTCCAAGAAAATAAATTACTTCTAAAATGAAACTTAGTGAGAAAATTTAAGTAATATGAATTTACTTAAAGAGCATTTGCTAGTTGAATTGTGTTACACGTAATGTCCCTTACTATATATGAATGAGAAAAGTAAAACTTTTACTCACCTTTTAAAGACTACCTTGGTCATAAGCATATCTATTTTTAACTTATTAAATAAATTTGCTTACATCATTAATTTGTATTCATTGTTTATAATATATAAAGAGAAAATTATAAAAATTTCACAGTATTTAAAAATTGACTGCTAACAAATAAGTCTTATACTTTTAAATCCCAGTGTTAGTTTCTAACAAGAATATTATGTAAAAAATACAGTAGCTTATACATAAACTAAATACAATTATGAAAACATATACTATTCAACAATTAAATGTTTAATAAGAGAAATTAACAGTTTGTTATTTAAGAAAAACACCACCGAAAGAAAGGAGGCATTCCTTATATTAATAATATAAGATCTGTTCAGTGACTCGGAACATTTTAAGTGCAAGGAGTAAAAATACAACATACATATGAATGACATAAAGCACAAAGCCACAATACCCACTAATAAACGGGTTAAAATACAATCATTTCACGCTGACTAATCACCAAAAATGTAGCCATTAAATTAACATAGGCTAAGATTTATTTATTCCTTTTTTTATTACAGCACAAGACTTTCTACAACATGAAGAAAATTTAAATGTATCTTAAAGCTTTCTAATAATATTTTAAATAATTTTACATTTCACATTTCATTTGCTTTAAAATGAAAAATGTTTCTGAGATTTCATGTCACTCACTCATACACACACACATGCATGCATACACACTCTTAATTTTCTACTTAGTCAACAGGATCTGTTGAAGTTAAAGTTATCCATGAAAGAATATTAATCTAATATGCTAATAAGCTATTCTGAAGTTTGTCTAATATGCACCAACACTGAAAGAGGTAAAATGTTATATTTGGTATTGACAACAGAACTTCAGATCCCCTAAACCCATTTAATATAAAAGTCTAATTTAACAAATAAATATGCTTCATATAATAAAAGAAATCCAGTCACTCTAATAATATGTAAGTACTTCATACATATAAAAAAGTAAATATGATTGTAAAAATTCTATACAAACCTTTATTGTGATTTTTAAAACTTCAATACATTCAACTTATCAAAAAAATAAAAATACTACATTTCTTCATAGTGCAAAGAGTGAATTATTCAATGAATTCCTTTTGGGATATACATGTAATAACACTAAATAATTCTGCACATCTGTCTTACTATTTGGCAATCTGTGATTATTGTTTTCTTGGTCATTTGTTTTTGTGAGGTTGAAAAGTCATCTATACAGAGGACTTTAATGAGCATTCAGATTTTTCACTTGTGATATAATTTACATACAAAAAATAGCATAACAAAAATATATTGGAATATAGTATAGATACATTTACATAAACATTGCATGAATATCACAGTGGATATGTAGAGAAGGTTGATAAACCTTAAAATGTAAAATATCAAAGGATCAAAAACATCTAAAACTGACCTGGAATGAATTATTTGTAATTTTAATATTCTATAAATCTAAGTACCTTTTTATGTTAAACTTAAAAGCATTATAATGTTTATTAAATAGAACAGGGGTCAGCAAACTTTTCCCAGAAAAAGTTAGATAGTAAATATTTCAGGCTTTGTGAGTTACAGAGTTTCTATTGCAACTAATCAATGCTACTGCTGTAGTGCAAAACCAGCCATAGATAACACGTAAACAAATGAGCATGACTGTGTTCCAATAGAACTTATTTTAAAAATAGGCAACAGGCCAGATTTGGTACCTGGACCATAGTTTGCTGACCTCTAAAACAGAGAATCTGACTCACAAACACTTAATTTTAATTGCTTCAATATCTAATATAAAGCATGAGACCTAAGTAAATGTTTAATGCTTGGTGAATTGAAGTCATGAATGGGTAGGGAAAATAAAACGTCTATGCTCAGAAACAAATGCCATTACAATTCAATCTCATTAGCAGTTAGGATTCTGCTCTCCTAATTGGGAAAAAATTCCAAGAAAGTAATCCACAGTCTTCTTAAGAACTAGGCTTGCAAACTAAAACCAATAAAATGAAAGAAGATGGAACAGAGACACAGTAAGCAGAAAGTGGATTTCCAATCTAAGATAGCTAATAAAAATATCTTTTTATAGTGAGTTCTTATAGTATTTCAAATCTCCCCAAGTAAACTGTAAACTCCATAGGGATAAGAAATATGTTTCAATTGTCTCTGGATCACAGTGCCTAGGATATAGTAGATGGTCAGTAACGACATTTATTAAATACATATGTGAGTGCTTTCCATGGCAAAATATGTTTTTCATTAGTTCCCACAAGATGATGGTCCTTTGAGGCAGCAATTTCACTTTAAGATCCTCCTATAAAGTTAAAATGTTCTGTTGTTTAATATCATCAGTCACACTTTGACTATAAAGATGAATTTCAGCCTGAACCAGAGCTTGACCTACTCTTCAAATAACATGACTTGAAACTTGGGTTTATATCTTATTATAAAGATGTTTGGGTAGGGCAAAACAAAACAAGAGCAGGCATCAAGGGTTGGTTATAAAACTGGAGTTATAACTAATTTTCAAATAAAGAACCACATAGCTTTATAAATTTAATTACAAATAGATTATAAACTCAAATCAGTTCACTTAATGGCAATGTACTTGGTCATTCTTGATTTAAAATATCAATGGTAATCAAAATGCCTATTTCAATATAGTTATATATTAATTACTCCTCAAAAAAAAGATATTTGAAGGCTACTAAATAATCATGAACAAAGTTTATGAGTTTTGTCTATGGCTCCAATAAAAACCCAGAAAATTAAAATATTCCCAAACCACTAACTCCACAAAGTGGGAGAAATGCATAATCTATAGATTATTACATAAATTAAACTTTTGCATGACATATGTAAAAAACTGTAAACAAGTTCTGTTATGGAAGTAAATTTCTCTACTTTTATAAACATAATATTTTCACATTTCCAAACAAAATAATAAGTTGGATAATGACAAAAAACAAGTTTTAAAGAATACTATTTGGTTTTTGGAGCAGTTATGGATATTAACAGATGAAAGCCACACATAATTATATGCCTAAACAAGACACAGCCTTAATTTGCCATTTTTACAAGCACAACGTCAACATTATATATAAACATAAATAATATAATAGTCCTGATTAATTGACAGCAAGCCAAACATAAAACGGAGAAAAATATTTCCATTAGAACAGTAGTATGGTTCAAAGTTCACATATTAAAAAATAAATATATAAAAAAACTATTATATATGTTACACTACTTGAAATTAAATAGATTCCTCTTCCAAACTATCAAATTTCAAAACACAAACCAAGAGGGCCAATGATATACTTTAAAAAGAAACTGGAGAAGACAAAGTGTATGCATCCCACAATTTATAAAGAGAATAAATTAAAGCAAAAGAGACAAAACAAAACAAAACAAAAAAGAATAAGAATATTATCATACCATACATAGCACAGAATACTATGCAGCCGTAATAAGGAATGATATCACGTCCTTTGCGGGGACATGGATAGAATTGGATACCATTATCCTCAGCAAACTAATACAGGAACAGAAAGCCAAACACTCCATGTTCTCACTTATAAGTGGAAGCTGAATGATGAGAACACATGGCCACATGGTGGGGAACAACACACTGGGGCCTGTTGGGGGAGGAGTGTGGGGGGCAGGGAGAGCATCAGAAAGAATAGCTAGCTAATGGATGCCGTGCTTAATAGCTAGGTGATGGGATCATCTGTGCAGCGAACCACCATGGCACACATTTACCTATGCAGCAAACCTGCACATCTTGCACATGTACCCCTGAATGTAAAATAAAAGTCGAAGAAAAGAAAAACAATGAACTCTCCCTCACTCAGACTCAAACTTTAAAGTATGACATGTTAACAGACAAGAGTGCTATCATACCGATGTCCATGGTTCCTGATGCCATGACACATCAGCAGGGCAAGCATGCATATGACACTGTATTACGCTAGGTGGCTTGTTTACAATTTCACAGTTGTGATCTTCTAATATTTGGCCATTGGGAAATTGACATATTACAAGTCTTGATTTTATTCCTCCTCCACATGTTTGTGAACACTAAAAACAAGAATAGGAAAATTCAAAACTGTGGTTTTAAAGAGAATAATGTATTGCTTCATTCAATGTTTAAACATAATTAGTAATTATGTTTATTCTAGTAATTTTAACATAATTAGTTTACTCTAGTAATGTTACTCTAGTAATGGTAGCGTTTAAGTTTATAATTACTTCATAATTATCAACATTTCCCCCTAGACAAAAAAATAAATC
Source organism: Homo sapiens (assembly GCF_000001405.40). Lineage (NCBI taxonomy): Eukaryota > Metazoa > Chordata > Mammalia > Primates > Hominidae > Homo > Homo sapiens. The sequence continues at coordinate 43,425,904 of NC_000012.12, forward strand.
AAAGTTTCAATTCCACGACTTTAAAAATTGACCAGATTTTGAGGATTAGTATCATAATATATTTCAGTAAGATATCCAGGACCTATAAGATAATGTTGGCAGGTTAAGCCAGAATCAAAATTTATTTATCTAAGTCATGAGCATTAATTACATAATGTACAATATCCAATCAACAGGTTACTAAGTAACCATGAAAGCTATTAATAATAAGGTACGTCTAATTTTATAAACATGAAATGTTCAGTATATATAATATAAAAACAGCAAATAACAAAACAGCTGTATAATGTGAACCAATTTCTAAAACTCATGCAGAACAAAAGCCTGGCAGGAAATATACCAAATCTTGCTAAAAGTTTGTATCTCTATTTGGACATATAATTTGAATTTTCAAAATAAGTGCATGTAAACTCAGAAATAGAAGTACTTTCGTTTTGGAAAACAGTAAAACTGTATCTTAAAAATGTGCTTGATATGTATTAACACCTGGTCTGGGTGTACTTTAAAAACATGGTTTCAAACTCCCAATGAACAGAAATTATGTGCTAAAAATCATTAAGCAAAAACATTTGACTAAGTCATTCATTTTATTTATCCAAAGCTAATAGAAATCTTTGCTTCTTATTTATTACCATTCCACATTACGAAGGAGGTTAGTATTAAAAGTGACTTTAAAAAATTATCTTTTTATTTCCAGTTCCTAGAGAGTGCCAGTGCATGAAGCAAGTGCTCAATAACTGACAACTATCTGGCTTAAAGAAAAAGATTTGCCAAATGCATAACTTAGTAATAGGATTAAACATGTTTTATATTTTATTCTAGTTTTCTATTTTTATATCAACCTAATTTTCTAAGAAATTAAGAGAATAAACCAATTTTAGAAAGATACTAGTAATTCAAAGACATATTGCCTAGCATATTAGAGTCTGCTGAAAAATCTAGAATATGCATTTTTTAAATCATGAATGAGTGACCTAAACCATGACAGAACATCTATTAAAAGAACTTGGTTTAATCACTCAATTAAAATAAATTAGTCGGGAGAATCACTTGAGGCCAGGAGTTTGAGACCAGCCTGGTCAACATGGTGAAATTCCCATCTTTATTAAAAATGAAAAAAATAGCCAGGCATGGTGGCACACACCTGTAGTCTCAGCTACTCGGGAGGCTGAGGTGGGAAGATCGCTTGAGCCCAGGAGGTGGAGGTTGCAGTGAGTCGAGATCACGACACTGCATTCCAGCCTGGGCAACAGAGTGAGACCCTGTCTCCAAAAACAAAAAAAACAAAAATTCTTTTTCTACATAGTATAGTGAAATCAGATTATTGAACAGTATAAGATGCTTTTTACTTTCAGTCTTCAGAGATGTAATAATCTCACAAGTTTAGAAAATATTATGACTTACTTCTCCCCAATTTCCGTAGTTCCACTGTGGACAAGGCCCTGGACCACATTGCTGTAACTCTGGAGGCTTGGAGGCTGCATCGCAGTAACTAGCACTTTGTCCATTTTCATCCTGGCAGACCACAGCCCTATGCTGAAGACCTCCAGAACAACTGCTGGAGCACTGACAAGAATAAAACACAAAATATGCACAAACTGCGGATTCCACATAATGAATTTACATGGTAAAAAAAAAAAATCAGCATTGACTCAATCAAAATCAAACCCTACATTAGAATCTCCTTCATTGGAATCACAATTTGAATTGAGAAAATCTATCAAAACACTTGAGTTATACTGGGAGCTTCATTAGAATTTGTTGATGAAAAGGTGGGACTTTCAAGTTTGCATTAGGAAACAATTTTCATTTCTATCATAAGTGTTAAGTAAAAAGAAATTAAAGTTTTTGAGATCTCACTAGAAAGGAATAAAAGACAGTATTAAATTACTTAACTTTACACTGGTGTTTTTCTTTATTTTGTATTATGAATGTTATGTAAAATATGAACTAAAACTATACCATTTGTAGTTTGTCATGATTTTATACCAGCTTATTGTATTGCTATCATAATAATTTTGGGATTTAGGTTTATTCATAAACATTTATAGTCTTACCCCTTAAAGCATTTTCTTTTGTTTTTATTACAATGAATTCTAATCAGATTGTTTTACAGTACATTCCTCTGTAATCATAATAACACATTAGTGCATAATTCAATAAGAACTCTAGCATTTGTAATGAGCATCAAAGACGCTTAATCTTTTTAATATTTAAACTATTGATCTTGAAATAAATTTAGCATTTAAAGTACTGATGGCATCATATACATACCTGTTAAAAGGATGTAATATAACAAAATTACAGAATTAATATAACTCAATAAAGATGGCTTACTGATCCCCATGGTCCGGTTCTCCACTGGTTTCCTCTGACTGATGGATGGACCACCTGATTTTCATTATCTTCAAGTTTTTGAGTTAATGGCAAATTCGTGCTTAGATAATAGCTTGGCTGCACAGGGGAACTAGGAAAGTGGCTGTGTGCAGGAGGGCAGGCTGCCAGGCTACATTCCTGTTCCATCAAAGGGCGAACTTCAGGATCACAGTAATTCTCATCAATTGGCTGATGGTAGTTCATGCATAAAACTTGTCGAGTTGTTTTTCCATGGCCACAGGAAGCTGAACACTGATCAAAAATTTAGCCAATGGTAATATACAACATTAATTTATATTTAATATCAAATATATTTAAATTTTTCATTTTCTTTTTTTCTCATAAGAATACTTACGGGTGACCAATCCCCTGCTTGCCACTCTCCACAAGGGGTAAAACAGTCCCATATTTCAGCAGGTCGGGGTAAGTGGGCACAATATGATTCATCTGCTATTCTATCAAGAGCATCACGACAGCTTACATAGCGGGCTTGAGTACCTCTTCCACAAGATACGGAGCACTTTTTAAGAAATCAAATTGTATCCGGGCATTATACAGTAGTACCTCACCCATGTCCCTTTTACATAGCTGTTACTCACATTTCTAAAACATCCAGTTTCTTGAGAAATTTTAAATTATTATAGATAATATTACCTGACATCACTTCTGAGTCAAATAAAGATGGGGTAGTGAATATTCCAATCAGTTTAGATCATAAATTTCACAAATAATGTATAGTAATTTCAATAATACATAAATATAATGATTTAAAATAATGCTTAGTTATTTGCTAAAATTAAAGATACTTAAAATATTTTAGGTAAGAGAATCTTATGATATCAATAAAAATAATTTTGATATATAATATCTACTACTAAGTAACAGATAGATATAATTCCATAATTAAAATATTCAGAGAATATATGAAGCTTAAAAATACATATTCTACAAGATTTTAGCAACGTATACTCCACATACGTTAAAGCTTTCAGTGTAGAAAAACAACATGAAAATGTTTGTAGTTCAAATAAAAGCCGATACAGCCTAATACTAAATCTGATTCTCATAACAACCTGTGACGTAAGTATTATTAGTATTCCCATTTTGAAGATTAGAAAATATACTCAGAAAACTTCAATTTCTTGTCCAGAGACACAGAGCTCTTGAAAGGCAAAGGACTTAGCCATTAATTCCTAATTCTAAACCCTATACTTCTTTGATGCCATCAAAATACCTGAGAATAAATGTATACATTGTGAAATCTCTAGCAACCATTTTGTTGATGTCTAAAAGCTACCATAATAGAAACACTGTATCTATTAAAGAAATTCACTTACTGGGGTCCAAGAACCATGTCGCCATTGTGCCATCTTTTTTATGAGAACAGTTGGTAATAAAGCGGTCTCAAGTTTAGAAATAAATGAGCAAGGTGTAAGTACACAGCTCTGTTCAGAAGAAAAATGGTTCTCGTAAAACATTAATTAATGACTGATTTATACAAAATCTAATACTTCACTTCTTCTGTATGTCTCAAGAACCGTTCCATACTAAATTAGAAATTGGTAATATGAATGTTTTCATTTTCAAAAGCACTAACTACAGTATCGTCAAGTGTCAATAGTGGATAATGACTGAATCCTAAAGTTTGGACCATTCTGTTTGATTGCTGAAAAGGAAAAGAGCTTCAGTCCTTTAAAAATACTGCTCAGCTAAAACATTCTGAACGGACACAAAACTCTACCTTAAAAAACACAATACACTTTAGGAGTTCATGATATTTATAATAATAGATATAACCTTCTTCTTCAGTTCAAAGAATGGAAATTCACAAGTTAAATGAGTGAGCCCTTAGCAGATAAAGAGTAAAAAAAAAAAAAAAATTCATTGATAAAGCTACAAAGCTGGCAAAACCAAGAACAACAAATTCTATTTTTTTGCCTCTCTCTCACACATACACGTGTTTAAGGCATACAAGTTTAAGTGGAAAAAAATAAGTAAAGAAATAATTTTAACACATCAATAATCTTTCTGTCTCATAAATCTTTTTGTTTGTAAACCATGATTCTTTTTACCTGTCTGTCACTGGGGCGACTAGCTTCATGGCATTCTGTGTCCTCTAACACTGCACTAGCTAGCTCATTGACACATTTAACATCTCGCATCTGATACCCATGTCCACATGTGGTTGTGCACTGAAAGAAGAATATAGATATTAAAAAAACATTGTTTCCCAAAAGTTACACAAACTTCTATTTTCTTAATGAATACCCTGTTAATAATATACTTTTAATAATCTTTTTATCAATCCTTTATACTAGATTTAAGACTTAAAAAGAGCAAATTCAATAAATATGCATATTTATTCAAATTAAGTAAATACCAAATATTGAAGTTAACCAAACTGTACAACAATTAATGTATTCTGAAAAGTTGTCATATAAAAATATAAATAGAGGCCTGATATTTTAGAAAGCAGTCAATATGATTTAAGGAAACTAAATATTTTTCAAACACCACCTAGTGTATGCATGTCATTTAATATACTAAGTAAATTTTAAAGAGACAAAGAAGGAACAGCATATAAAGTTAAAGGGAAAATGAGAGAAGGCTTCCTGTCAACTGTGGCAACCTCTACAGAATAATAAGCTACTCCATCCTCATCCAGCCTGATCATTGCTCATCCTGCAGACTCCTAGCTGCCTGTTCAGCAAAACGTCTAAACGATGCCTATCCTAAAAACAATAAAGATATCAATGCAGACACAGAGATGAAAATATTTATAATCTAAATAAAGCTGATAAAAGCATAAAGTCTGTAGCATTTTGGTTAACAAAAGGGAATTTAAAAGCAAAGCTGAAATATTTATTACAGAAAAATTAGCAGTACTATCAACATGTTACACATAAAGATTCACATTTCAGGGTTGCTGTTGTTTTTTAATAAACCAAGCCAAATTCCATTGCATCCACTAAGGGAGGAGTAAATATAACACAACTTTTGTGCTATTCTGTAAAGATAGATCAAATTAGAAAAACCCATATCATATACTCACAGGACCCCATGGTCCTACTTGCCAGGAAGCACATGTATGAAGTTCACATGGACTCAGAGATTCAGGTTTGGTACTTGAATTACAGAAGCCATCACTCAAGTGATCTACATTCAGCTGACACCATACCTGCCGCTGCTTTGTTCCTTTACCACATGTAACAAGGCACTGTAAGAATAAAACTGATCATTATTTATTTGCAGCATTAGTCAACACAAATGCCTTAAACTGATGCAATGATCAATTTGCATATAGAAATACAGTTGAAAAACCATTCCCAAATGCATTTTCCCTCACTCCACCAGAGATATTCACTGGGTAAAATCAGCCTGCCCCTAACTTCTGCTGCCCAAGTCCCACTGAAACATCCATTTATCCTAGAAACAAAGGTGCAAAACTAACCTTAGAATAAGTATTCATCCCAGGCTGCTGTGGACCCTGGCACTTTCTTATGCAAAGGGTTATAGATTAAATATCAGTTAGTGTTATTACTAGTCAGATACTGTAAATAGTATAAAGACAAACTATCTTGTATATTTCTTTTTTTTTTTTTGAGACAGATTCTCACTCTGTCACCCATGCTGGAGTGCAGTGGCCAATCTCAGCTTACCGCAATCTCTGCTCATTGATACTCCACGTCCCAGACTCAAGCAATCCTCCCACCTCAGCCTCCCGAGTAGCTGGGACCACAGGTGTGTGTCACCACATCCAGCTAAATTTCACTATGTTGCTCAGGCTGGTCTTGAACATCTGAGCTCAAGCAATCCACCCACCTCAGTTTCCCAGAGTGCTGGTATTACAGGCATGAGACACTGTGTGCCTGGCCTGTCTTATAAATTTCTGACAGCTTTGATAATAGTTATTTACAAAATGATGAAATAAATTTAAGCACTTTTAAATTTTGTAAAGTCTTAGATTACAAAGCTTTACTAACACAATATTTTAATAGTTCCAAGCATCATGTGTTTAATGTACCTCGCTCCATTCACTAGCAGCCCAACTGGGACAGGAAAATTCATTGCAATTCTCTCTCGTCACTCGGGACAGTTCTTGGCATTCATTGTCAGCAAGACGATGGCCAAAGTTATTCATACAATAAGATTCTCGAGACCTTTCCCCTCCTCCACAACTCCTGGAACACTGATTAAAAAAAAAAAAGTGGTAACTAATGGAAAAAAATCAGATTTTCAACAAAATTATACTTCAGAGTAACATAAATACGTAATTAGAAAGAAAGGGGCAACTTTTTTTAAGCAATCATTTTTATTGTACCTGAGACCATTCTGAATAATGCCATCTTGTGAAGACACAGTTACCATGGCATAGTTCTTGGGTAGGAGGTTTAAGCTGGTCACCACAGTAGTGGTCATCAACTTGAACAGTCTGTCCTTCATGAATGGAATACTTCATGCAATGGATGTCCAAGGTTCTATATCCTTGACCACATTGGGATGAACATTCACTTTTGCCAATAACATGCCACCTTGAAAAAAGATGTTACTATACTTAGGAGGTATATTACATAATTTAAAAACAGATTCAGAGACACTCATGCATTCAGTTTTTAAAATCCTAAAAGTTGATAGACAAACCACCAAAAAACAAAACCAGTCTGCAGCCAGGAAGCCAGCATTATACTACTGACCTCATGCCAGCACTTGGTGGTAGCTTTGGAGGTGCGTCCAAGGAACCCCAAGCTTCCTCAAAAACCTCTGAAAACAACTGGTTTAGATTATGATTACCCAATTACTTAGTGGCAGATTTAAGATAATAACTGAACATATCTGACTGCCAATCAGATAGTTTATCCCTATGCAATCCTCTATAAGTATTTCGATTTTATGACCAGGGAACGTCTAGGAATTTGACTACATCAATAAAAATAAAGCATTTAAAAAGTTAACTAGTTTTTGCAAAGTACACTACACTTTCTCATTCATTCCTGTAATCTATATTTAGACATGTTTCCAGGTAAAACATGTCTTCCACAAGTAAAAATGTTAGTTATAGCCAAATTATCCCAATTGTAGTCTAGCATTCATCAATGTGAGGGCACCAGTATAACAAAACACAGAATTCACAGAATTCATTTCCGTCCCTAATAGCATCTCAAGAATTTCACTGTGCTTCCTTTTACTACTATGTAGTGGATGCAACTTATATAGGCAGTTCTACTACTGTGCTTCTGCTATGCCTTCAACCAACATCATAAATATATAGAAATTCTCATCAAGTGAAAGAGGTTCTGGCCATACCTGAATGTTAAATGGCACCTGCTACAATGCTAAAAATAAATGTATAAATATGATAGATGGACTCATTGTATACCATGTCACTACAAGACCAATCACGCACACACACACATGCACACACAAACACACACACACACACACACACACACACACACACACACAAACCAAATAACAAGAAATTTAAATTAGAAGTATAAACTTGCTGTCATGATCTAGGATCAATTTCCCTAAAGTTTAATGGACAAAATACTGATAGAATGTCAAGGAAATCAATCAATTTGATTTCTCCAAACTTCAGAAGTTTACTGGTTCATTAATTCCGTGGAAAGTAAAGAATCATGCTAAAAAATTTATTGTTTCAGATCTTTAAACCATCCATTTTCAGATAACAGTTTACTTGTATTTATTTTACAGACAAAATTACAATCTTTTTCTACATAAAATATTGAGGCCTATATACTGGTATTCAGAAAATACTATGAATGAAAATTCAAATCAATTATGTACTGAGTTTTACCATAAAATAGTGAGCCTGAAATTTTTTCATGGCATGGCAGATGATGAGTAATAATTGCATGTCCATGCTGTGTCAGTCACTGTGTTAGACATTTTAATCTTAGCTCACTTATTAATCTGGTTATATTACATATTATTTCTCTTTTACCTTAGTTCACAGTCTGTATTGCAACTTTGAGTAACAAATGATGGAAGTGGCAAGTGGTCACATTCTTTATCAGACACAACACTATGATCACTCTTATGTATGCAAGTTATGTTTCTTCGCTGAAGACCTTGGCCAAAGTCAAATGAAAATAAAAAATGAAAGAAAAATTCACAGTTAGATGTTCCATAATTATGTAATTCTGCTAATAGCTTAAAGGAGCCAGCTAAGCAAGTAAAAATTTCCAATGCAACATACAGGATATACTAGTATATTAATCTAATGAGGAATGACTTTTATAATAAGTAAGCTGAATCCTGAATGACTGAAAGTTTGCTTAATGAAGAGATGTACAGAAGATGGGACAGGCATTGGAGTAAAATGAAATTCACTATAGTGGGATAGAGTGGTTGTTGGTGAATAATTGAGTAGCTAAGGACAGCACTGTTGCTATACAGTACACTATATTACTGTCATCCATCAGCTACCTCAGCTACCTCCCATTTTCCCATAAGAGGATTGCACATCTCTATTGCTGCAATGTTATAGTAACTTCCTGTAGGGGAAGAACTCTTTCCTGTTGATTGGCATCAGGCTTTTTATCAACCGACTGAAAAGGAACGTGACCTATTCCAGTCCCACCCAGCTCTCTTTCCTTTTTCCCTCTGCCTCCAGAACATCATTTCCCAGATACAGCTGATCTTTCAGCCTGGAATCATGGAAAAAAAAGGCATAGACAGGCAATAAAAAGATCAGTGTCTGTCACCAGTTGTGGGGGAAGGAAGGAAGAATAAATAGATGAAGCAAAGAGATTTGTAGGGCAGTGAAACTACTATGTATGATATTATATTGGTGAATACATGTCACTATACGTTTGTCAAACCATAGAATTTACAACACAAATAGTAAACTCTAATGTAAACTATGGACTTTAATTAATAATAATGCATCAAAATTGGCTCATCAATTGCACAAATGTGCCACATTAATGCAAGATGTTAATAATAGAGGAGTGTGGAGGAGAATGGCAGAGGGAAGAAAGATGAATATGCAAACTTTCTGTACTTTCTACTCAATTTTTCAGTAAACCTAAAACTTCTCTAAAAAATAAAGTCTAGGCCGGGCGTGTTGGCTCACACCTGTAATCTCAGCACTTTGGGAAGCTGAGGCGGGCGGATCACGAGGTCAGGAGATCAAGACCATCCTGGCTAACAAGGTGAAACCCCGTCTCTATTAAAAATACAGAAATCAGCCAGGCGTGGTGGTGGGTGCCTGTAGTCCCAGCTACTCGGGAGGCTGAGACAGGAGAATGGTGGGTGAACCCAGGAGGCAGAGCTTGCAGTGAGCCGAGATCGCACCACTGCACTCCAGCCTGGGCAACAGAGTGAGACTCCATTTCTAAAAAAAAAAAAAAAACAAAAAAATAAAAATAAAAATAAAATAAAAAAAGTCTATAAAAAAAAAAAACATGGATACAGATACCAAGTTGGAGTAGACCCATAGCCAATTAGCAGCCAAAACATGACATGAGCAATAAATAAACCTTTATTGTTCCAAGCCATTAAGATTTGGTGGTTTGCATGCAGGATAACTACAGCAAAAGCAAACTAAGAGAAGTGGTCATAACTGACCAGAGTCATTTGAACTTTATGCTTTCTGCAATGAGGAGACAGTAAAGAGTTTAAGCAGTCAGTGACATGAACAAATTTCTGTTTTATCAAAGTTCAACTTTGTGCTTCCAGTTAACTAAACATGATTATATACGTTATCTCTGCTCCTTTCTCAATATCTTTTGAAATGACTATGAGAAATTCTGAAAACGCATAAACGTAAAAGAAGAAAAAAAGGAAAAGAAAAAAAACAGCAAGGAAATGAAATTTTGAATATGAAAAGTAGATGGAAATAACTATTTAACAGAGCCAAGGAATTGGAACCTAAGCCTGCAAAGTGGGAAAGTAAATAAGCAACAAATCATTCATGACATAGAACCCAAGAGAGGCCCAGGAATGGAAAACACCAGGTTCCTCTGACAGGGCGAATGTGTGAGGGGTAGGCCTGAAATAATAAAGAATTAATTGAAAAGTATTTTAAAAGAATGGTTAGACCACTAGCTTCCTAGTTGAGAACAGCACTATCCAATGAAAACAGAATGTGAACCACATCTGGAACTTTATATTTTCTAGTAGTCACGTTAAAAAAAAAAGTTAAATTAATTTTAATAACCTTTATGTTTAGCCCCAAATATTTAAAATATGATTTGAACATATCAATATAAAATTATTAATAATATATTTTACGTTCTTTTTTCATTCTAAGTCTTCCAGATTTAGCATGCATTTAACACTTACAGCACATTTCAATAGATTAGCCACACATGGCTAGCGGCTACCATATTGCACAGCATAGCTCTAGAAAAAGTGAACTTGAGAGCATAAGACACAGCTGAGAAAAGCTGGGAACACACTCTACTGAAACAAGGTGGCTAAATAAAATTCCCCACACTGAATGATGTGATCCCAGCCCATTCAGCGCTCAATCTCCTGCTGGCACCATGCCAACTTCTGTTATCCCGCAGCACCCTCATGACAATCAGAAGATGAGAGAATTCCTCTCTTGCAGGACCGTTTAACTCAAGAAAAAAGATCAACTGACAATAACATTTGAGACTTCTCTCCAATGACATATGAGAGGGCTACTTAATGACCAAATTACTCTATAATGAAACTTCTAGTTAACTTGTCTGACCCACAGAGGGCTTTCAATCAGACTTTTAGTACTTTTAAAATATGAACAAACAGCGCAAGGTCAGTAGACATTCTAGGAAAGCCTCTAACACACACAAAAAAGGTAAAATAAACAAAAACAAAATAGACCTAGGAGGAAACACATATAAGTGAGGGAGCAGAAGAAAACTTAAAGACTATGATTAATACACTCAGAGATATGATAGAAGGTATTATATTCATAAAACAAAAGCAAGATGTTATGAGAAGAAACATTAAGAAAACAATGAATTTGAGAGAATAAATTAGAAAAGAAATATCAGTTTAGGAATGTGAACTAGTTTCCCAAAGATAAAAGAGAAAAGTTAATGTGAGGAAGTCATCTAAGAACATGATAAATTTCTCAAGACAAAGATTTATGTTTCCAAATTGGAATGGCATCTTAATTACCAGAAAAATAGATGAAAAAACAACCAAATCAAGGCATATTGTCCTGAAATTTCATACCACTAGAATTAAAGAGAGGATCCACAAAACTTCCAGAATACAACATGTCATGTACAAGCATGACAAGCATGAAATTGGAAAACAAGCCAGAAAACAAGAACTTCAAAATTCTAAAGAAAAACATTCTCTATTTATACCAGCTAAACTATTGATCGAGCATGAGAATATAGTTATGTCATTTTCAGATATGAAAGGTCTCAAAAATATTCTCTTCTCAAGAAAATACTGAGGGATATGTTCCACCCAATGAAAGAAGTAAATCAAAAAGAGGGACTGAGAGGATTTAGAAAACAGGGAATCTAACACAGAATACTGAAGAGAATTCCCAGGACAATAATGAAGGAAAATCTCAAAATGACAGTCATTAAACAAGCCTAAAAAACAACATGAACAAATTAGAGAAAAGAGGGCCACAGTAGCCAAAGGTAAAGAAAAAGTGAAAGAAAAATCAAATTGATAAATTCTATAATATGCTTGACAATATTAAGACAAAATGTAGAGTTCTGATAAAAAGCTTGAGGACTGATAACTTTCAGTACACAGAAACAAACAAAAGAGGGAATTTAACTTTAACTTTAGAGAAACTAAAAAAAATACACAAAAAAAGGGAATATAATCAGAGTTCACTATATGGTAAAAGAAATAATAGTTGCTTTTCCCCTGCACGCGATTGTTTAAGAGAACTCTCCTGCTTTGGACTCCCAAATCGTCTCCCACCATGTTTTTCCAAACTTCCATTTTGAATCTTGTTATTCTCTGTGTGTTCACTGCATTTTAAAATGTTCCTTCATTCTCCTGTTTCTGAAATTTCTCCTTCTAGCTCCTTATATCCACGGTCACAGATGAGCTTACCCACTCAAGTTGGAATGCTGATCCCAGCTCCCCAGATTCCAATTATCTTCTAAAAGGATATTCAGGACCTTTCTGTCAAAATAAATTTTTCCTTCTTCTATGTTAACCAAAGCTCTGTGTTTTCTACCTCTATTATCCCCGTCTATCTTGCATCATTTCCTTGTATCCCTCCACTGAGACACTGCTAAAATAGGAACATTTGTTCCCATGAAATCATTCTGGGAAGCACTGTCCAGATGCCACAGGACCAAGACTGTGCCTTTTCCTGAATAGGGCACCACAGTTCCTTTGGCACCTCGTCAGGTCAGATGGTAGACTGTTCTTCACATTCTCACCACCTTTGGTCACCGCCTCTTGCTGCCCACTTTCTATGATAAGCTCATCTCCACATGGTTCGGAGCTTCCTTTGCCCTGACCCACTCCTGCCCTAATTCCCAAGCTATTTCTCTATTCTTCATGAAAACTTTTCTTCCATTCTATACAAAATTCTCTATCTTCAGCTTCAGTCTCCTCAAAAACTGCTCCCTCCACCTTTTCTGAGGTCCACACTGTGCGTATCTATAGTACTGTATTTACCATTTTATTAATACATTAACATATATATTCATGCATCTGTTTCAAGCACTAAAATAAAACATGAATTCAGAATTGGGATCTTATTAATAATCTGAGCATATTCCCTCAATAAATATGTACTGCATTGAACATAATATTACACAATTAAATATTCATAATTACAGACTGCAGACTCTAGTCTTTCCACTTTTTTCCCTACTATAAATTGTCCTGCTGTTCCCACTCTGCTCCTTTTCCCACTCTATTTCTTTCCATTTTTCATGCCATCTATACAATTATACTTTCTCATGGTCAGGGAAGGAAAATAAAAGACAAAAGAATGTTTGATATCTCAACAATAAAAGAGGAAGCCAGGTTGTTGAGAAAGACTGTGTGGAGATGAGTGGAAGAAAAGGCAGATATTTCACCAGGAAGCAGGATATATATAAGTTAGAGAAACTTTCTGTGGCTGTGAAAAAGAGAATGAGAACGGGAAAGTAAAAGAACAGTAATAGATAGAGAAGGGTGAAAAGAGTAGCATTAAATAGTGCTGTTAAGTATAAGAAACAGAAAGAATTAGTGAAAAAAGTAGAAAGGAAAAAAAGATTGAAAACTTTTGTATGTCTGTGGGATATGTGTATGGACAGTGGGGAGGATTCCATAGGCAGCCAAGACTCAAAAGTACCCAAAATGATGCCAGAATGCACAGTCAGTCTTTTCTCCCTTATTGAATGCCAGCGTACCTTGACACATTTTGGTACAGCCTTCCCATGGTCCATAGGGGTCCCATGTGAACATGTCACTCCTCTCTTCCAAAGGGATATTGAAGGAATAATGTACATCAGGGTTGTATAAATTACCCACACACAACACCTCAATAAGAATATAAAAGAACATACAATTAATACATAAAAATATATTCTTGACATCATTTTATATTTGATAATGTTAAGCACTTAACCAGTAGTTTACTAATATAATTAAATCCAAGTGTTATTACTGATGACTGAGAATTTACCTGCAAAATAAGTTCTTTCTCTTGTCGATTAGTACTATTAATTCTTTCAACTGCGTTATTTGATCCACTGTATTCAATAACAGTTCTTGTTCCTTGCACATTGATTTCTTTTTTTGACGTACTTAGAAGAAAATTTCCATTGAAAAGAAAATTCCCTTCAGCGTCAGATAATGCTGTAAAAGAATAAAGCATAACTCATGAAATAGTAACACCAATCAACAATACAGAAAACACTTGTTTAACTTTTTTTTTTTTTTTTTTTTTTGAGACGGAGTCTTGCTGTATCTCCCAGGCTGGAGTACAGTGGCACAATATTGGCTCACTGTAACCTTCGCCTCGCCTCTTGGATTCAAACAATTCTCCTGCCTCAGCCTCCCGAGTAGCTGAGATTACAGGCATGCGCCACCACGCCTGGCTAATTTTTGTATTTTTAGTAGAGACGGGGTTTTGCCATGTTGGCCAGGCTGGTCTCGAACTCCTGACCTCAGGCAATCTGCCCGCTTCGGCCTCTCAAGTGCTAGGATTACAGGCGTGAGCAACCGCACCTGGCCTTGTTTAACTTTTAAAGTTCAAATCCTTTTTTGAAATTAAAGAATGCAAAAGTAAATTTATGTTGAGGAAATAAACTTTATTTTACTGTAATGTGGGATTTTAACAATAAGTTAGGTAACTTCAGCACATCAGCCAAAGATATTAAAATAAATTCACTCTATACTTTTCTATCTCAGATGGTCATCTTCTTTCATGATGTATGTAGCTTCAGAACAAGCAGTGGGAAAGCAGAAAGAAGTCATGACCCCAGCAGACAGATTAGTTCAATCATCCTGGTCATCAATGGTAGGGAAAGAAGGAGCAGCCAGACTGCTGCATCATTCCATTTATGCTTATCTTAGAAAAAAGGTACAAAGCTTTAAAACTCTAGGGTCGGGAGGCCGAGACGGGCGGATCACGAGGTCAGGAGATCGAGATCATCCTGGCTAACACAGTGAAACCCCGTCTCTAGTAAAAATACAAAAAAATTAGCCGGGCGTACTGGCGGGCGCCTGTAGTCCCAGCTACTCCGGAGGCTGAGGCAGGAGAATGGCGTGAACCCGGGAGGCGGAGCTTGCAGTGAGCTGAGATAGCGCCACTGCACTCCAGCATGGGAGATTGAGGGAGACTCCGTCTCCAAAAAAAAAAAACAAAAAAAAAACTCTAGGGTCAACATTCTAGAAGGCCATGCAATGACTATGCCATTCTCTATACAAACGTCTAGATCTTCTATAGAAAAGCCCTCTATCCCTGTTAACACATACGTGGGTATCTGCTTTTCAGAATAATACTCCTATTTCCTTCTCTGTTCATGTCCCCTTCTTGTTCTCTCTTTTTCCCAGTGACAGACATTAATATATACCTATAGAATATGTATATGTGTGTATATTTATTTATATACTATATATATACAAATAGAGAAGACAATTATATAGTATGTATTAGTAACATTACTTTTTAAATATAAAATTACATGTCACCCAAAATCATGCGTAGTAAAAAGAAATCAATGTGGGATAAAAACAATGGATTTAAGTTTAAGTTGTTGTGATTAATGTCTATGTAATCTTGGACAAACCTCATGCTCAGTTTCCTAAACTGCATAATAGAAATAATAAACATTTCTATTTCAGTCTTTTAATCAGGATCAAGTTTGAAAAATGTTTGTAAGTGTGTGAATTGTAAAGTACTGTGCTATTTATTTTTAATTTTCAAGAGGATGTGTAATACCTAAAATTTTACACTAAGAAAACCCCCATATTAATCAAATACTTTTTTGCTTGCTTAAGTTATACTTTTCAATGGAATAATAACCTTTCCAGAAAACATTTGTTTGGCATTCCAGGAAACCTCACCGAAAGCGCACAATTATCTATGGCTAACTTCCTAATATAAATACAATACCCCTCTGAAAAAGCAATATTGAAGGGATTATTGTAAAATAAATTTGGTGTTTCTGTGTATATGTGGACTAGTATAACTGTCTTTATGTATTACGCTGAATTCAGTGAGGAACAAACAAAGATCTATATTTAGTCTATGACATAGACATTCCTCTATTTAAGAATCTGCGCTTTATCAAATGTGGCTAGGTCTATTTAAGGGATTATTGGTTATGTTAAATTTAAGGGAAATAAACAAAACTTTACTGGCTTAGAAAAAAAGTCTACAAATTTCACTACTTTTAGTTACCAAACGTCATAAACATAAATGTTTTAAAAATTCCTTCTATTGACATCACATGTCTATTTTACTCACTTCAATTTAGACTTTGATATTTCCGTTTATAATTTTCTCACAAAGTATATTGATACTTTATTGGTGAACATTTCTTTTTTTTTTTTTTTGAGACAGAGTTTTGCTCTTGTTGCCCAGGCTGGAGTGCAGTGACACAATTTCAGCTCACTGCAACCTCCGCCCCCCAGATTCCAGCGATTCTCCTGCCTCAGCCTCCCGAGTAGCTGGGATTACAGGCATGCGCCACCATGTCCGGCTAATTTTTGTATTTTTAGTAGACACGGGGTTTTGCCATGTTGGTCAGGCTGGTCTCGAACTCCTGACCTCAGATGATCCACCTGCCTCGGCCTCCCAAAGTGCTGGGATTACAGGCATGAGCCACCATGCACAGCCAACATTTCTAATTTTTAAAGTTGAGAATAACCTGTGATCCAGTCCCAGAAAGATATATTTGTCTACATTTGGAATCTAAGAGATACCTATTAAATTATTTATCTCCAATATGGTAGCATATATCTATGTAAATGTACTGAAGCAATATTTTTAGCACAAGGAAAAGAATTTCAACTAAATGTAAAAGGCTAATAAATCAAACTATTTATGTTTGATTTTAATAAATATTTTGCATCTTGTATTGAGGTGAAACTGATATAACATAAAATTAACCATCATTAAACGAACAGTTCAATGGCATTTAGTATATTCACGATGACGTACAACCATCACCTCTATCTAGTTCCAAAACCTGTTCACCCCAGAAGGAAACCTTGTACTCATTAAGCAGTTGTTCCCCTTACATTTGGCTTTATAGTTCCAAATGCAATTCCTGAGATAGGCTGTTCATTATAGATTCAGATTGCCAGTTACATAAGTTAATTATTTGAGTCAATATTTCACATCTTATTAATGTACAGCAGATGCTTTCTCAATATCAGCTCTGCACCATTACCTACCTACTCCAGCTTGGTGAATTATAGATAACTCGCTATTAAGATATTTCACAGGCAGAAGGAAAAGGTTTTTAAAGCATCATTTTCATGTTTGTGTCTAAAGTGAAATTCTTTAAGCCTGAAAGCTAATTTCTAAAAATAAATAACATAAATTAAGTTTATACTTTAGAAATAGCTAACAGACAATATACTGTGACTACATTCATTAACATATAAAAATGTGAAACCACAGTTCTTTTTCTGACTTTTTTAAATACAAGAGCTTTTACAAAACTGTATTTAAATACTTTAGCTACATAGTAAAAAAAAATTAAGAAAATTATTTAAAACATTTAACCCCAAAGAATTCTACAATTAATATTAGACAAAATGATAGAAGAGAATTTTATTCTAAATACACATGCAACTAATTGAATATAATTTCTGGTTATCTAAAATACACGAGAAAAAAACTGAAAACAAATTATTGTTCAGAATTTCATTAAGTTTTTTTTTTTTAAGTAATACATTTTTGAGTGCTTAAGAACATATGTATAGGGAGCGCTAAGCTCAGTATGAAATGAAATTGCATGCTTGCTAAAGGGACTCCTGTTTTCCAAGAATTCACATCAACTACAGACTTCCATGAAATTGCACATAAGCCACATACTGGCTGTTGTTTACGAGAAATGTTTACCAAGGTAACTGTCATCTGGTTGTCCAGAATAGCTGTACTGACGAATGTCAACGTTTGTTGCTCCTGCGGGAATCTTTACAACAACATTATAACCTGCAATATAATTTTACATATGTTAAATTTCACAAAAAGCAGATGGCCCAGAGGTTATTACTGCTGAATGGATGAAAAATTCGAATAGCATAGTCAGACTTAATTTTGTTGTGTCTTTACAAAATTACACAGTGGTTATTCTTTTTGAGTCAGTACCTTACACAAATTACTGAGGATTGAGAAAAAGTGGTTGTTGTCAAGAAACAGAGTTTAAGATTCTTAACTTTTCCTAATCTTTTCCTACTTCTAATATTCTTAATATAGAATGGAATGAAGCTAGTATTTTAGCTCCTGAGACCCTTAGTACACATACCCATTTTTAAGCTTTGTTAATGCTTTTATATTTTATACTGGGAAAAAAATAGAAGATTTCAAATACAATTCACAAGTCCAGGAGATATTAAAATAATTGGTCATTGCTATGATATATTCACACAGACTCAGTAAACAGCAAAATAATGAAATTTTTCAATTTCATTATTGAAAAATCATAAAAAAAGAAAAAGTTTAAAGCTCAAGTTTTAGTTTGTAGTATAAGCAGGAATCTCTTCATCTATTCCCCAAATTTTACATTATTTTTACAAGAATACTAATAAACTTGTTATGAGAAAAGTAAAAAGTTTACTCAAGTGAAATGAATGTAATATTTCCATTTTATGAAGCCAAATTCAGCGACATTGGCACTGCTCAAAAGAGGAAACATTTTATCTAACATATATTAAGAAAAAACATTTTCATGAAAACTAAAAACACTCACATTACATAGTTGTCCAAATACGCAGGTTTTTAAATATACAATTAGTTATACTCTAAGGATATTATTCTAAGTTTTTCCTTTTCCTTATTTATTAGGATTTCCTCCTAGTTAACTGCACCATGAGTAAAAAGTAATTTTTCTCATACACTACCTTTGATAAATATGGAATTAACTTAAGAAGACAGTTCAAAAAGAGCTTAAATTTACAACCCTAATGTCAGACTATCTTGCATGTGTTTTAGAGCAGACTTATTTATATCTAAGGCATCACATTTTTAGTGTAAGACGATAAGAAATAGTTTCATGATTCGGTATACACTATATGCCTACTGGTTGTAGGTTATTGACCTACAAGAATAATTTTAATTAACCTCCTTTTCACTATAAAATATTCTTACCCACTACTTTTACTATTTATATCTTTACTATTTATTATATTTTTTTCAAGAAAGCAAGCCTAAGGCATTGCAAAGGTGACAAGATGAAGGCTACCACCAGGGGGCAGAAATGTGACAAATGCTAATCAGACCTTGCAAATGAGTTTAACGCATTGTTCTATTTGCAAACTGATTAATGCACAGTACAATTTTCACAAGATTACATATTTGATCTTAATTTGGTTCATGTGGCTTTATCCTGGAAAAAATATTTTTCAGTAAATACAGACTGTAATAAGTATGTGCCATGCATTATAGAAGGGAATCAAATGTGTGTAGCTCCCAAGAAATAACTAGAAAAATCATATATCAAATCATCTAGTAACCGAGATTTGTAAATATCAGAGTATAAAATGTACTATGTTTTTCACATACATAAAAACATAAATATTAAGTTTTAAATTATACTGTTTTAATGGAAGTAAGTAACAATTTGAACACACATGAACACAATTTAAAGCTGAACAGTCAGACTGTAAAAAATAGGCTAGGTGTGGTGGTTCATGCTTGTAATTTCAGGACTTTGGGAGGCCGAGATGGAAGGATCCCTTGAGGCTAGGAGTTTGAGACCAACCTAGCAATACATTGAGACCCATCTCTACACACACACACACACACACACAAATTAGATGGGCATGGTGGTGAACACCTGTAGTTCTAGGTACTGGGGATGAGGAGGTGGAAAGATTGCTGGAGCTCAAGAGTTCACAGCTGCAATGAGCTATGATTGTGCCACTGTACTACAGCCTGGGCAACAGAGTAGCACCCTGTCTCTAAATAAATAAATGAATAAATAAGGTTGTAAGAAATAAATTTAATTTGCAAAGAAAGTTTTAAAGATCTGCTTTAATTATCATAAAAACAAAAAAAAATTGCCCAGAAAACATTACAATGGAAAATACTTTACATAGTCTCATGATATTTTGGAGAAAAATTAAATTATGGCCAATATGTGATCCAGATACTGCCTGGAAAATCAAATGTGACAATAATTCTGAAACATTTAATTCAGAAAATATATAAGATAATGGTTTCACCCTTCACCTTCAATCAACATTTTCTATGTACTATTAATAAGAAATGTAACAGATAGGTCAAGTCATACCAAAAAAAGAAAGTGATTCAAGTAATGAAAATATTTGAAAGCAAGTTTCCTGGGAAAAATCACAAATATATACATTTTAGGTTATAGGGAAAAAACCATTTCATTAATGGGAGGATTATTCACATATCACACATCACAGTCAAATAGCACTGAATTTACTCTAAGAAATGCACCTAATACATTTTTAAGAATCAGATTTGCCTGGGGCAGGTGAATTCATTAATCAAGGATACATCTGGTCTAATACAGTATTTAATTTTTTTATATTTAGGAAATTTTTCCTTAACAATCATTTTGGACTAAGGGTATAGAGTAGACAAAACAGTAACAAAGAATTACTGTTACACCTTCTTTACAGACTCCATTATTATACTAAATAAAAGCGAAATCTAGAAACAAATACACAACTTACCATAATGAGAACTGTTGAAGACACCTGTTATTGTCTTGCATGAAGAGTTGTCCCCACCACACACTCCACATTTGTCTATCTTGGCACTGGAGTTTAACACGTGATCACAACCAGCTGCCTTCAAGACACAATTACAATCAATATTATAAGAATGACTAATTATGAAGAAAAGAGAGAAGATCCAAATACATACAATCAGATATGACAAAGGGGATTTACCACTGACCCCACAGAAATATAGATAACTCTCAGAGGCTACTATGAACACCTCTATGCACATGAACTAGAAAACCTAGAAGAAATGGATAAACTCCTGGACACAAACACCCTCCCAAGACTGAAGGTGGAAGAAAGAGAATCCCTGGACAGACCAATAATGAGCTCTGAAATGGAATCAGTAATAAGTAGGCTACCATCCAAAAAAAGCCCAGGATCACACGATTCCCAGCTGAATTCTACTAGATGTACAAATAAGAGCTGGTACCATTCCTACTGAAACTATTTAAAAAATTGAGGAGGAGGGACTCCTCCCTAACTCCTTCTATGAGGTCAGCATCATCCTGATACCAAAACCTGGCAGAGACACGACAAAAAAAAAAGAAAATTTTAGGCCAATATCCTTGATGAATACTGATACAAAAATCCTCAACAAAATACTTGCAAACCAAATCCAGCAGCAAATCAAAAAGCTTATCCACCGCAATCAAGTAGACTTCATCCCCGGGGTGCAAATTTGGTTCAACATATGCAAATCAACAAATGCAATTCATCACATAAACAGAACAAAATACAAAAATCACATGATTATCTCAATAGATGCAGAAAATGCTTTCAATAAAATTCAACACTCCTTCATGTTAAGAGCTCTTCATAAACTAGGCATTGAAGGAACATACCTCAAAATAATCAGAGCGATCTATGACAAACCCACAACAGCTATTATACTGAATGGGGAAAAGCAGGAAGAATTTCCCTTGAAAACTGGCAGAAGACAAGGATGCCCTCTCACCACTCCTATTTAACATAGTACTGAAAGTCCTGGCCAGAACAATCAGGAAAAAGAAAAAAAGAAAGGGCATCCAAATAGAAAAAGAGGAAGTCAAACAATCCCTGCTGGCTGATGACATGATTATATATCTAGAAAACTCCATAGTCTCGGCCCAAAAGCTCCTTAACCTGACAAACAACTTCAGCAAATTTGCAAGATACAAAATCAATGTACAAAACTTACTACCATTCCTACACACCAATATTAACAAACTTGAGACCCAAATAAGGAACACAATCCCCTTCACAATGGCCACCAAACGAATAAGATACCTAGGAATACAGCCAACCAGGGAGGTGAAAGATCTCTACAATGAGAATTATAAAACACTGCTCAAAGCAATAGAGATGACACAAACAAATGAAAAATACTCTATGCTTATGGATAGGAAGAATCAATATCATTAAAATGGCCATATTTCCCAAAGCAATGTACACATCCAATGCCATTTCTATAAAACTACCATTAATATTCTTTATAGAACTAGAGAAAACTATTTTAAAATTCACATGGAACCAAAAAAAGAGCCTGAATAGCCAAAGAAATCCTAACCAAAAAGAACAAAGCTGAAGGTGTCATGCTACCCAACTTCAAACTATACTACAGGGCTACAGTAACCAAAACAGCATGGAACTGGTACAAAAACAGACACACAGACCAATGGAACAGAATAGAAAGACCAGAAATAAGTCCATACAGCTACAACCATCTGATCTTAAACAAAGCTGATCAAAACAAGCAATGGAAAAAGGACTCCCTATTCAATAAATGGTGCTGGGATAAATGGCTAACCATATGCAGAAGACTGAAACCGGAACCCTTCCTTACATCTTATAAAAAAATCAACTCATGATGGATTAAAGACTTCAATGTAAAACCCCAAACTATAAAAACCCTGGAAGACAACCTAGGCCATACCATTCTGGACACAAGAACTGGCAAAGATTTCATGATGAAGACACCGAAAGCAATTGCAACAGCAAAAACTGGAAAATGAGATCTAGCTAAATTTAAGAGCTTCTGAACAGCAAAAGAAATTATCAACAGAGTAAATAGACAATCTACAGAATGGGGGAAAATATCTGCAAACTATACATCTGACAAAGGTCTATTATCCAGCATCTATAAGGAACTTAAATAAATTTACAAGAAAAAAAAACAATCCCATTAAAAAGTGAGCAAAGAACATGAACAAACACCTTTTAAGAGAAGACATACATGCAGCCAACAAGCCTACAAAAAAAGCGCAATATCACTGATCATTAGAGAAATGCAAATCAAAACCAAAATAAGATAGCATCTCACACCAGTCAGAATGACTATTATTAAAAAGTCAAAAAATAAAAGATGCTGGAAAGATTGCAGAAAAGAGAACGGTTATACACCGTTGGTGGGAGTGTAAATTGGTTCAACCACTGTGGAAAGCAGTGTGGCGATTCCCTAAAGAGCTAAAAACTGAACTACCATTCAACTCAGCAATCCCATTACTGGATATATACCCAAAGGAATATAAGTTGTTCTACCATAAAGACACATGCAGGTGTATGTTCATTGCAGCACTATTTACAATAGCAAAGACATGAAATGAACCTAAGTGTCCATTAATGGTAGACTGGATAAAGAAAATGTGATACATATACACAAAGGAATACTATGCAGCCATAGAAAAGAATAAAATGACGTCTTTTACAGGAACATGGATGGAGCTGGAGGTCATCATCCTTAGCAAACCAACACAGGAACAGAAAGCCAAATATTACACGTTCTCACTTGTAAGTGTGAGCTAAATGATGAGAACATATGGGCACAAAGAGGGGAACAACACACACTGGGGCCTGCTGAGGGTGGAGGGTAGGAGGCGCGAGAGGATCAGAAAAAGTAACTATTGGATACTAGGCTTAGTATCTGGATGATGAAATAATCTGTACAACAAAACCCTGTTACACGAGTTTACCTGTATAAAAAACTTGCATATATACCCCTGAACCTAAAATAAAAGTTAAAAAAAAAGAATGACCAACTATAAGCATGGTGCTTTAAAGTTTACAAAGTTCTTTTCACAAATATCCTTTCAATTAACAGGAGATTCAGTACAACAGAATTGTTTCAAAATATATACTCATCTAGTTGTATGTAACATTTTCACATATTCATTTAAAAAGCCAAGTTTATTAAAGGGTCATCCACAGACCTCCTGCATCAACATCACATGGGGTGGTATTTAAAAAGACAGTATCCCAGATCTTCTGAATTATAATACTTGGAAATAAAACCTAGGAATCTGCATTGTAACACTGACATTGATTCCAATACCCACTGTCATTTGAAAACCACTCTTAAAAGAAATGTAATTCAAAGAGACTAAAGTATGAGTATGTAAGTAACACATTAGAATACTCCAAAAAGATGACTTCCATGGTTATTATTTTAACTCATGACCTTAGAACTCTGCAAATAGTCTTAGCTTCAAATAAGTATTTAAAAGTAAAGTTTTCTCTAAAACTAATACCCAGCATAACAGTGCTTATTTTTAAAAATGAATGAATAAATGAATGAATATACAAGTAGATGGCTTGTTCCAGAAATTTCAAAAAAACAAATGCAGCTCCTCTCCATGAAGAAGCTGTCCTCTGCATACATTGCAATAACTCTTTCCATTGTTTGGAATGGCCTTCTAAATTTAGTGATCAGCAAAGAAAATTTCTTAAGCCTAGTGAATTTTTTTATACACAAGGCAGATATTTTCAAAATCAAAATGTTAAGCATATATTTTCTGAAAGTAGCATGCCTCTATATGTTCAGATAATCTTCATCATAACTTTTGCATTGTCATATGACTTTATGCTGCTAATTTAAAGCACAACTTTTTTCAGGCCACTGAATAACCTTTTCAGTATTTAAACTGTTTCCGACTTAAATTATTTTAATTCTCTTTGAACATCTCATTAGCTCTTTGGGTGAACAGCCTTTATCACTGAGATAAGGTAAAAGGTATTTGTTCATGGGGAGATGAAGTTGGCCCTATAGAGCTCCACTTTAACTGAAGGAATAAGTTCATAACTTATACTTATATTTTTAATTATTTTTTATCTTTTATTTTCAAACTGACAGATAACATTGTATGTTTTTATCATGTACAACATAATGTTTTGAAGAATATCAATACATTAAGGAATGGTTAAATCTAGCTAATTAACAAATGCATAACCTCACATAGTTATCATTTTTGTGGTGACAGCACATAACATCCACTAAAAATAGAACTACCATATGATCCAGCAACCTCACTACTTCCAAAGGAAATGAATTTAGTATATCAAAGAGATATCTACACTCCCATGTTTATCACAGCTCTATTCACAATAGCCAAAATATGAAATCAAACTAAGTGTCCATCAGTGGATGCATGGATTTAAACAATCTGGTTTATATACAAAATGGTATATTATTCAGCCATAAAGAAGAGGAAACCTTGCCATTTGTGACAACATGGATGAACCTGGAGGACACTGGGTTAAATGAAATAAGCCAGACACCAAAAATCAAATACTATATGATCCCATTCATATGTGGAATCTAAAAAAGTTGATCTCATAGAAGTACACTTACTATATTCTTTAGACCACATTCACTATCTTAGTTCTCAAACTCGCCATCCATTCTCAAGACTGCCATTGCAATGTTTGTGCTTTAACTCAGCATCTCATCTGCTCTGACCTACAACCCTGTTAAATGGACCACCTGCCTCCAATCTTCTAAACCCAGTATTTTGAAGATTCCAATATGCAAATCGAATCACATCTCTCCCTTGACTTCAAATGCTTCTATGTGTTTCCAAGGAGTTAAGAAAAAAAAAAAGTGCATTTGACAACCATCTGCTAGTCCCTAACTCCAACTCTGCTCCCATACTTCCTCATCTTCCTAAAACCTACTCATTTCAATACTTAGCACAAGTCTTATGCGCTCCATAAAAGGTTCTCTGAATCCTTTACCCACCTCCCCATAAAATAAGAAACTCCTTTCAATATCTCCATGCTACCTTGCAGATGACCCATAGCAGTGCATTCTAATTGTTTACATGCCTATTTCCCCCACAAATCTGTGACCATCTTGGAAGTGGGGTTCTCTGCTCCAGTCTTTTATCCTGGTGACTTGAACAGTATCTGACATCTAGTAGCTACTCAATCAATGTTTGTTGAATGTACATAAAAAATAAGTGACAGAGAGCTGGAAAGAGGAAGGGAGAATATCAATGGTTTCAACGGACAAGGAAAACATTACTGTAGAAGCTTACACTTAAAGTAGCAAAATCTCCTTACAATCCTTTTATCTTATTATTTTCTATCTTTTTAGGAAGCTGACCTCATTCCTATTTTGATTATGAGTACAATAGACCACAGAAAGTCATCAAATTTATCTTAATGCTTTGTTGAGGCATTCTTGATGACAGAGAATTCCCAGTAACCAGGCTAACCATACTTCTATAGATAGCATGATAACAAAGGTTGCTTTGTTGGAATGCATAAGAACATATGCTGAAATAGTAAAAGTAATATTTGGTTATATAAATCGAAAAAAAACATTATTCTTAAAGTCACTTTAAATCTAATAGAAACTTATAGTTTACTTACCATACACTGGCCTTGAACACAGATGTCATGAGTTTCAGTTCCACAAGGAGTACCATCTTCAACCATATCCTTCAATAGGTAGAAATAATTGGTTCCAGCAACCTGACAATAGAGTTTACAACGATCCTTTGTGCCAACTGTAAAAAAGAAAAAGGTCAAATTTTTAATGTATAATAATAAAGCTATGTGTTCTTACGTCTCAGAAAAATTTACATCAAAGAACCAGCATAATTTACTTACTGCCACTGTATCTTGGAAGCCACCTCACATTAGAGGGAATGCCACTGATGTCCAAATGTTTACCATTAAAATCAGAGCACTGCTTCTCTCGAAAGTCTTGTGTGCCTTTTGGACATGAATCAGTATTACATGATCGAAATTTCATCCTGCGGCCCACACAGTAATTTCCTCCGTTTCTTGGCCTAGTCAAATTCATTACATTTTAAAGCACATCAGTACAACATTATTTGTGCCACTTACTTCTAAAAGTTCCATTCTTTTCCAGGATCTAGAAAACCAGTGAAGTCCCACTAACACTTTTTAACAGAAGTATGTAACATGAGTTTTACGCAATTCTATGCATAATGAACCACAAAAATATCCACCTTAACGTGGACAGTGAGCCTAGAGGGCAGAAACGATACCTTATTCTTGACTAGGTTAACTAGCAAGAAACCAACAATGGAAGTTTTTTCTTAAACTTCCAAAAAAGGGTTTGCTCACTTTCTGGAAAGAAGAAAAGACATGTGGTGAGCCAAAGACAATAACAAAGGCAGGTGCCATGTTAAATAAAAAGGAAATGTATACACATCTGTCATGTATATCTTA
Organism: Homo sapiens; assembly: GCF_000001405.40. Taxonomy (NCBI): domain Eukaryota; kingdom Metazoa; phylum Chordata; class Mammalia; order Primates; family Hominidae; genus Homo; species Homo sapiens. The sequence continues at coordinate 43,453,102 of NC_000012.12, forward strand.
TTTATCACTCAATTCAAGGAGTTTTATGGTATCAATCTATATCCATGTTATTTTGACTTATGCTGGAAAATAAAATTTTTTGCAGAATTTTTGGAATATAAAGACTTCTAGTATAATTTATCCTAAAATTTAAATGAGCCAAGATTTTATTCAGAGTAAGTCACATTTCTGCATTAAAAATGCTTATTAATAATACTTTAAGTAAAGAGTATCATATTGCTTACCAACTTATATATCATATATACAACAAAAACATTAATTTAAAATCTTAATGCAATATCTAAGCCCTTTTAAATAGTTTGATGAGGGGGAGATATGCTTTAGTACTTATTCAGCTAAAGACAATGATGCGTCTATAACACAAGAAGCAGAGAAAATAAAGTATCACATGTCACAATGCACAAAACGGTAAAAAATTGGTAACCAAACTATATATGTTATCCAGAAGATCCGAAACATAAGTGAAAGTAGCCAGGATGTTTCATTAGGCATACAGTAAATGTGAAAATGACATTATATAACTGTGATTCATATTTATATCTCAAAATTTATACTAAATTAAAAAACAAAAAAATGAAGAAAATGGATCTCAGTTCAGATTATAAAATTTAATCTATTTATGTTTTTTTTTTTAAATGTCTGAATCTACCAAAATATAAATCAATGTGACTTAAAGTGCTCCAGAAATTTTCTGAATCTCAGAAACTTACGGACTGACCTCCAGTTTTAGAAGTGAGTGAAACTGATGTTTACTTTCTGGTGCCTTGAGATAATCTTAATTTATAGTGACATAAAAAAGACATACTCAGGACGATTACAGCGCCTGGTTGCACTTTCGATTCCGCCTCCACATGTTCTTGAACAAGAACTGTAAGGTTCCCATGGTCCCCATTCACCATTTACAGGACGTGTTTCCGTTTCTTTGTTTACACATAGCCCATGACGGCAATGCTATAAAAATAATAAGCACAAAAAGAAATGATGTGTGTCTCTAATTAGAACATCACAAAAATTATAATAGCAGCATAAAGATCAACAGAAGAACAAACTAAACAATTTGAAGCTAGCTGTTATTAATTCAGATTACATTTGAAATGATTTTATGAATATTTCCTACCTACTAAGATCTGTGGAATAGAAAAGGAGTGTAATATTTCTTCTGGCTTTAAGATTTAGAGTGTCATTGGGGAGGAAGGAAAAATTAAATAGTAAAATGGAATATGGCGGGTATTTTTTGAATAGAAGAAACCAAATACCAGGTTAATATGGTATATTTCCATCCTTCCATTTTTTTACTCAAAGTATCTATACACTCTTCCACTCTTATAAAAAGCTTTCTACTTTATTCTATCCGAAGTCTCAAATGACAACCTTGTTCCTTTACTTTCATCAGGAAAATGGAAACTTACAGAAGAATCTACCCACAGTCTCTCACCACCTGTTCTACCCATTCAACAGCATCTGCACTCACATTCAGCCTTGCTACCTGTTAGCACACATGGAAAATTCACTATCCCAGACAAAGTCAATCCCCCTGCTTGTGTACTTAATCCATCCCTTCTCACTACACCAAACATCACTCCAGCAATTCTCTCATCTCTTCTATATCATCATTTCAGTGATAGCTAATCAAAGTATGACCATGCACTCATGCCAGTCTATGAATTAGTTTCCAGACTGAGAGACAATAACACAACTTGAGAGTAAGCATTAAGAAATTTTTGTAAGATTTTTACAGAGAAATTTTATGTCTAAGTAAATAATTTAAAAATTGGCTTATGTTTATTTTTAATTGTGGCAAAACATGCATAACATAAAATTTACCATCTTAGCCATATTTAAGCATATAGTTCAATAGTGTTAGGTATACTCATTGTTGTGCAACCAATCTCCAGAACTTTTCCATCTTGCAAAACTGAAGCCCTATACCCATTAAATGACAACTCCCATTTTGTCCTCCCTGCTACCTCCTGGTAACCACCATTCTACTTTCTGTTTCTATGAATTTGACTACTCCAGATAGTTCATACAATTGGAATCATATAGTACTAGTCTTCATGTGACTGGCTTATTTCACTTAGCATAATATGCCCAAGCTTCATCCATGTGTCAGAATTTTCTTATTAAAAATGAATAATATTCCATTGTATGTTGTCTTAGTCCATTTTGTGCTGCTATATAAGAATACCCAAGATTGGATAATTTATAAATAACAGAAATTCATTTCCCACAGGTCTGAGATCTGGGAAATCTAAGGTCAAGGTACCGGCAGGTTTGGTGTCTGATGAGGCCTTTCTCTTCTTCCAAGATAGCACCTTGCACACTGCATCCTCTGTAGGGAGAGAATGCTGGATCCTCACAGAGCACAATGCAGAAGGACCGAGACAGCTCAATCCTGAAGGCCCTTTTATAAGGCATTAAACCCACCGGTGAGGGAAGAGCCATTATGCCCTAGTCTTATCAAACAGGCCCCATCTCCCAATACTGTTACACTGGCAATTAAATTTCAATATGAGTTTGGGAGGGGGCAAACATTCAAACCATAACATACGCATTTACCACACTTTATTTATCCTTTCATCCATCAATGGACACTGGGTTGCTTTCATCTTTTTTTTTTTTTTTGAGATGGAGTCTCGCTCCGTCACCCAGGCTAGAGTGCAGTGGCGTGATCACAGCTTACCGCAACCTCCGCCTCCCACATTCATGTGATTATCCTACCTCAGCCTCCTGAGTAGCTGGGACTACAGGCGCACGCCACCACAACCCGCTAATTTTTGTATTTTTAGTAGAGACAGGGTTTCACCATGTTGGCCAGGATGGTCTCAAACTCCTGCTTTCACCTTTAGATATTGTGAAAAATGCTGCTATGAGTATGAGTGTACAAATATATCTTTGAAATCTTGCTTTCAATTCTTTGGGTATATATCCAGAAGTAGAATAGCTGGAGAATATGATAATTCGATTAATAATTTTGTGAGGAATGGCCACACTGTTTCCCATAGAAAAATATGGCTTATATTTTGGATGTCTTTTTTGCATTTCATTTTCCTAGTCAATAATTTTTATTACTTTGTACAAAAGTATCAGTTTATAAATAATCAGAAATTTTAAAAAAGAACAAAGACAATATTTTACTACAGATAATTTGCAAAGTGGTTTCCTAGATTATCACTACAGATAATTCACAAAGTAGTTGCCTAGATTATTCTCATTAACATACAAACACAGCTGTTATTTCTCTCACTTTAAGAAAACAATAGCAACAACAAAACCTTTCTTAGATCTCACTGCCCTTACCAGCTACTGCTCTGCTTCTCCTTGAAAGAGTCGGCCATGTACATTCTTTAACTCCCTGTCTATTCTCTCATAACCCCGCCCCATGAGGAATATATCCTATTCCTCCATGAATCTGCTCAAATTGTTAGAAATGCAAAATGCTTGTTCCTCGGTGCTGCAAAGAAATAGCACTCGAACATAAATTTAAGTTTCTCAGCAAGGCAATTTTTCCTTTCTGCAAAAAGGGTGCTCCTCACAGATGGAACAATGGCAAGAGCACACCTGGACAGGGCAGGGGCAGGAGTTCTTACTCCTGACACAGATAGACCCTACTGCTGTGTCATTCCCTACTGGCTAGGGTTGGACTGCATAGTCTAAGCTAATTCCGATTGGCTCTTTTAAAAAGAGCAGGAGTACAAGCCAGAGTGGCGGGGTGAGTAGTTTGGTGGGAAGGATGGGTAGGAACAGGTAACTAAAGATGACTTAGGTCAGAGCAGGTAACCAGGGGAACAGATATGAATTACTGATTAGGAATGGCAGGAAAGTTGTTTACTGAAACTAGAGACAAGGAGGCAAAAAGAACCAGGAAGTTAAACTTTAAAATGGAGAATCAAAGAATAAGAGAGCTGAACATACTGACATACTGATTCTTTGAAGAGAAACCTGGGGTTCACTATATTTAACAATGTGTAGGACACCAATAGCCAGTTCTTATTCTCTGTCTTCCTTGACTTATCAGCAATGTGTGCACAATTAATCATGCTTCTTCTTTGACATAATTTTTTTCTCTTCATTTCCAGGGCTCTACACACTTGGTTTTCTTCCTTTCTTCAAAACTAATTGTTCTCATTTTCTTCTGTTGTTTTTTCTTTTTCTTTGTGACAACTTAGTGTTGGAATGTTTCTCCAGGCTCACATCTAGTTTTTTTATTCTTTTCTGTTAACAGTCACTTCTAGTCCAGATCTCTCTCTTAAATTATCTTCTTCTCTGTGACAACTTAATGTTGGAATGTCTCTCCAGGCTCATATCTTGGTTTTTTAATTCTTTACTATTAAGAGTTACTTCTAGTCCAGATCTCTCTCCTAAACTCCAGACTCATATATATGCCTGCTTACTTATGACTATTTACTAGAATGTCTAATAAACATTTCAAGCATAGCATATCCAAAACTGAATTCCTGCCTTCCCAACTCAAAACCTACTTTTACCAAGTTGATCTAAGTTGTTCAGCCAAAAGCCTAGTCATCATTTCTCTTCTTCCTCTTTGAACACTCCACATCTGATACATTAGCTAGAATAAATGTTCTAGTTCCTTTTAAAATATATCAAAAATTGACCTTTCATTATCTCACTACTACTACTCTGGTTTGAGCACTAGCATCCCTTACTTCTATCACTGAAATAGCTAAGTAGATGTCTGTTTCCACTCTTGTCCCCGACAGTTTAGCCTTAACACAGTTGCCAGGATGATCTCTTTTTAAACTAAGTCAAATCAGGTATGAATCCATTCAAATCTTTCATTATTTTACTTTGAGTAAATATGCAGTTCTCACAATGGCCTGTGTGAACCCCAAAAATTTATGACAGGTCTCAGTTAATTTAGAAAGTTTATTTTGCCAAGGTTGAGGGCATGCCCATGACATAGCCTCAGGAAGTCCTGATGACATGTGCCAAAGGTGGTGGGGGCACAGCTTGTTTTTATACATTTTAGGGAGACATGAGACATCAGTCAATACATAAGAAGTACATTAGTTCTCTCCAGAAAGGTGGAGACAGCTCAAAGCAAGCCCCTCCCCACCCCCCAATGGGGACTTCTAGGTCACAGGTAGGTGACAGACAGATGGTTGCATTCTTTTGAGTTTCTGATAAGTATTTCCAAAGGAGGCAATCAGAATATCCATCTATCTCTGTGAGCAAAGTGATGACTTGAATAGACTAGGAAGCAGGTTTGTCCTGAGACGTTCCCAAGTTGAAGGGTCCCAAGATATTTTTCTTTCACACCTGCAATGCCCTACGAAATCTTCCTTCAGTTACTTCTTATAAGTCTCTTTCTCTCTTCACTTCACTCCAGCTAAAATGTCCTCCTTGCTCTTCTTTGAATACTCCAGGCATACTCCAGACTTAGGAGCTCAGCTGTTCCCTTTGTTGGAAACTCATTTACCCCAGATATCCTCATAGCTAACCCTCTCATCTCCTTTAAGACAGCTAATTTGGTAACTTCATATAATGTCTGTCCTGACCATCATATTTTAAATTGCAATCTGCCCTCTCCTACTATAAAACTTCTAATCAGCTTCCTGCTCTATTTTTCTGGTGTGTGGCACCAATCAGTTTGATGGTACTATTATATTAATTATTTGTAATATTCTAGTCTCCCTCTAGAACTTGAGCTACATAAGGGCAGAGATCTTGTTGAGAGACAGGACTAGCTGGATTACCTAGGCTGACTAAGAATCCCTAAGCCTAGCTGGGAAGGTAACTGCATCCACCTTTAAATACAGGGCTTGCAACTTAGCTCACACCCAACCAATCAGGTAGTAAAGAGAGCTCACTAAAATGCTAATTAGGCAAAAACAGGAGGTAAAGAAATAGCCAATCATCTATCACCTGAGAGCACAGCAGGAGGGACAATGATCCGGATATAAACCCAGACATTCGAGCCTGCAATGGCTACCCTCTTTGGGTCCCCTCCCTTTGTATGGGAGCTCTGTTTTCACTCTATTAAATCTTGCAGCTGCACTCTTCTGGTCCATGTTTGTTACAGCTGGAGCTGAGCTTTCACTTGCCGCCTACCACTGCTGTTTGCTGCCATCGCGGACCTGCTGCTGACTTCCATCCCTCCGGATCCAACAGGGTGTCTGCTGTGCTCCTGATCCAGCGAGATGCCCATTGCCGCTCCCCACAGGGCTAAAGGCTTGCCATTGTTCCTGCATGGCTAAGTGCCTGGGTTCATCCTAATCAGGCTGAACACTAGTCACCGGGTTCCATGGTTCTCTTCCATGACCCATGGCTTCTAACAGAGCTATAACACTCACAGCATGGCCCAAGATTCCATTCCTCGGAATCTGTGAGGCCAAGAACCCCAGGTCAGAGAAAACGAGGCTTGCCGCCATCTTGGAAGTGGCCTGCCACCATTTTGGAAGTGGCCTGCCACCATCTTGGGAGCTCTGGGAGCAAGGACCCCCTGGTAATATTGTCTGTTTTGTTAACTCATGTATCCTACAGCAACAGAAGAAAATGAGAAATAGTGTACCTAAAATAGTGCCTGACATAATAGGCCCTTGTTAAATCTTTGCTGATTGAATGAAACCTACAGCCAAGCTTATAGCAGTAAAAATGCTTTGTGCTCTCCATTAGAAAAAGTCATTCAATATAAGAAAGCCATATTAGAAGTGAAAAAAAAATCATAATGTACTATGTGCGTGTGCATTTTGTTAGCATCTTGCACAAAAAATTTAAGTAATCCTTACTCTTTTTAAAAAATAATTTGATAGACTAGAGCATGAAAAAGTTATAACGTTATACTATTCACCATGTAGTAAAATTAACTCATTATCAGAAGGGTTCACCATGGCTTCACACAAATTGATTTACTACCAAAAGTGTTCAGCACACACACTCATTAGATAGTCACAAGATAAACAGAATAAAGAAGAATGTTAAGGCAAAATTATAGAATATTTGTTTCAAATGTCCCTTCAATAAAAGGTTTATTTAATACTGAATACAGCTAAATATATAGGGGTTCACTGTGTTTTATTAATTTAAAAAAGATAATTTATACCTATTATAATCCACATGATGCTACCCCAAATACCACCTTTGCTTTCAATCTGCATTGGCTCTAAAGTAAATCTTAGCATCTCATCACATTTACCTTGAATCTCAATAAATCCATGCCTATCCTACCATCTCATTGGGAAAATATTCAAATGGCTAATAAGCATATGAAAAAATGCATAAGATTGATAATAATCATGGAAATACAAGTTAAAACCACAATGAGATTCCATTTTATACCTAGTAGAATGGCCAAATTTTTTTTAAAGACTAACAGTATCAAAAGTCGGCAAGAAATACAGAGTAATTGGAACTTTACTCCATTGCTGGGGGGAGTCTAAAATGGTGCACATACTTCAGAAAACTGTTTGGCACTGTCTTATGATGTTAAACATACACTCACCCTATAATCCAGCAATTCTACACCAAGAGAAACACAAACGTATGTCTACAAGAAGACTTGTACAGGGATGTTCATGGCAGCTTTATTCATAATAACCAAACACAAGAAATGATTCAAATATCTATTGACAGGAGAATTGATAAATTATAGTACATCTGTATAGCTGAATTATACTGTGGTATAAAGGAATGAACTGCTAATGCACACAATAATATGGATGAAGCTTAAAAATATTATGTTGAACAAAAGACGCCTGTCCCATTCCACTCCTTCAAAAAAGATGACGCTGTATAGTTCTACTTACAAGAACAAGAAAAAAACGAATCTCTGGAAATAAAAATCAGAATAGGAGTTTTCTCTGGAAGGAAGGAGAGTTGCCTAGATAAGAGGCACAACTAAATTATATATATATATATATATATATATTTTTTTTTTTTTTTTTTTTTTTGAGACGAAGTCTCACTCTTGTCCCCTAGTAGTGCAAAGGCGTGATCTCGGCTCACTGCAACCTCCGCCTCCCAGGTTCAAGCGATTATACTGAATCAGTCTCCTGAGTAGCTGGGATTACAGGCGCCTGTCACCACGCCTGGCTAATTTTTGTATTTTTAGTAGAGATGGGGTTTTGCCTTGTTGGCCCGGCTGGTCTTGAACTCTTGATCTCAGGTGATCCGCCTGCCTCGGTCTCCCAAAGTGCTGGGATTACAGGCATGAGTCACCGTGCCCAGCCACAACTGAACTTTTTAAAGTGATAGAAATGTTCTCATTTTTATTGGGATGTTGGCTGTATGTGCATCCACATTTGTTAAAATCCATCAAATTGTATACCTAAGATCTATGCATTATACTCATATATACCTTAATTTCAAAAAATCATGTTTATGCCCTAACTGGATTTAGAATATTAATAAATTAGCTATAAATAGTATATCTCTTAATATTTGTAAATATATCAATCACACTTTTGCCACGAGCAATCAATCCTGAAGGTTCATGGCATACAGTAACTTGAAAAGTTGCTAAGGAACAGAGGAAGGTGCCAGTCCTGGATTTTAATCAGGTGAACATCTTGGAGCACATCTTCAAATGTGCCCATATCAGCAGCCCAGCATTCATACTTCAAAAAGATTTTTTTTCCTCTGCTGAGCCTCAGGTAGTCACTCTCACAAATACCACCTCTTACTCAAAAAGCTATTTACTAATACTAGTCACAGGAACCGAGAAAAAAATAAAGTCCTTTAAATAACTCTTATCCACCAAACAGAAACATTATATAAAGATTGAATTTTAAAATTCAAAGCCAGCTGAACTGAAAAAGCCCACTAGAACTTTCGTCCTAAAATTACAAAAAGGTTATTAGTGTGTTAGATGATTTCAATGAGTACTTCAGCTGCTACAAAACTTGAAGTTCCAAATAATATATTAGTAACCAATTAATTTGTGATGTGAGCAATATTCACAGGAAACACACACCTTTTGATGCAAGTGATTCAAGAGAAAAGCAATAGCTATTATAAATATTTCAAGGAAGCAAGAAGTGGTAAAGGCAAAGTTCAGCTACTGAACTGACCTTATTTTTAAGCAGTTTATCTTTTTTGGCTAATGTGAAGGTAACAAAGAGGCACAATTAGCCAATCCATTGCCAAGGAAGTGTTCCTTTTACACTGAGGGAGCTCAGAGATGCTGACAGACTAAACACTTAATGTAGTCAACACTGGCCACTGAGGCCATCCTGGAGCACAAAGTACACTCTGACTTCATCCTCTCACAAGACACTTTTCATTATCATGGTGAGCGTTATTCAACATCATGTTGACAGCTTTAGATAAGTTCATGACTGTTGGAATAATAAAGACCTAGCATGGTAGGTGGTTGATTTTAGCGGTATAATGTATCTTGATACACTTAGAAACAATAAAGGTCTAAAGAAGCCACTTAAAACTTTCAATTGTATTAACGGAATTTTAAGGGAGAAAACGTATGAAATGAAAACATCCCTGAATTTGGAGAATTTGCCAAAATATTAGGACTGTTATATCTGTCCTCAATTTTAATAATAATGTTATAATATACATAGATAACTATATATCCATGTAATTATTTATATGCTAACTATACAAAACTTTAATATTCATCTGCCATAGCTTAGAAATAGGGTAAAATTAAAGATTTAATTCATTGACAATGTACTATATCAAACAAACATGGCAATAACATTAATTCGACTAGCTGAAGAAAAGTTGACAGCAAATAACAAACAGAGTGCTAAAATGCAGAGCAATCACATCCTTGGATAATATCTTCATACAAGACTCACCCTTCAAGAAAACCTACCATTCCAGGACCGCAGTCTGTTCCATCTGCTGGTGGCACGTGTTGAGTGAAACAGCCTTTGTGAAGCTTTTCTGTGCTTGTGCACCACAGATGCATGCATATATTCTCCTGAGTAACAAAAGGCAGGCAAGCCAGTGTAAAGATAACACCACAACACTGGTTCAATTCAGTATTACACATTGATTTATAAATTGATCTGTTACCTAGTTCCATGGTATAAGCTGAAACTAATCAGCAAATTTTTTTACTAAGTTCTAGTCATTAATTTTCTTCTAAATACATAAAATTGTGACATTTTCTTTAAAACTTTTTAAAAAAATTTTATTCATACATTGAATAGGAGTTATGAATTGGAGTGGAAATTTTCAAAATTATTTGAGATAGTTTTCTCTCTTTACAAGATATCTTTCTAAAGAACTTTTTATTGTTAAATATTATTCATAAGAATTTGCCAAAAGCCGCTTTTGATACAATAGTGGAATGTATGAATAATCTGCATTGAAATAATGTATAATGTATACTGAAGTTTCCTATTTTGTGAATATAATGCATACTTTCAACTTTTGAACAAAGGGCTCTGAAGGTTTCGAAAGAAACAAAAGTCCACAGAGAGTCATACGAGCTATACCCAATATAATTCCTTTCTTTTTCTGAATTTAAATTCAAAGTTTATTTAGTGTCTAAATCAGATTGGAAAGAAATGTATCTTTTACAATGATATTTTAAGGTAAATCTTCCCCATTTCACAGTAAATGTTTAAAGGCTTATTGAAATTTAAGGTTTTAGGAAGAATAGTCGCTATATGAAATAAGTTTTGCCTGTCCTACATTCTCTAATTAATTAATTCTTTCAACATTCAATAAGCATTTATTTTGTGGCATATACTGTGCAACAAATCCTAAACTGGACCCTAGGAATAGATATAGATATTTATTTTAATGACTGAATAAGTCTACATTCCGGAATTGGTCCAATGATCCTCACAACCTAGTAGGGAGGGAAGCAATTAGGCAAAAATATATAGGGAATAAGGAAAACTGAATGAGTACTCTACATGGAAAAGTAAAGCATGGATTCACCAAAGCAGTGACATTTATTCTAAACTAAATCCTAAATTTACCCCCATATAAAAGAAAATCATAATTATAGATCTAATAAAAGTGTTAGGATCAACTATTTCAATGACAAAGGTATCTCATCTATGAAAAATCCTCAAAATATTATAAAATAATAGCTCAATGAAAAACTAAACAATATGCCCCAAATTTAATTCTTTTGAATTCAAATATATGTAAAGGAAAATGTACTCTATTAGTTAGATTCCTGGTGCCTTTAAAACAATTCAGATTCAACACACCTATATTTTCTCCTTAACCTCAAAATAATATCATTTGAAAATAAATATTTCAATGATTTTATTTTCAAATTATATAACTTCCCTATTTTCTAAATGAGAATACTTCATAGGAATTTGAGAGTTAACAAAGATAATTTTTAAGTACCCAAAACAGTACCTGACACATAATAAGTAGTCAATAAGTTTTAATTTTCCTTTTCTTAACCTCTTTTTGATAAATACTAAATTATCAGACTTAAAAGCTATATTTAGTTCAAGAGAATAAACACATTTTGAAATATATTCTAAGATAACTTTATGGCAGTTTTCGAACAAAATAAAGGAATTTTCTTTTCTTACTATATGGGGACACATTTGTGACCCAGGACCAAACGCAAGCTCACACTGCTTGTTTCCATCATATCGTGATCCAGGAAGTTCTGAAGGCAGATTATATATTTCTTCATCTGGTTTGTCAAGAAGACATTCCCCGTAACCAGTACTGTAACAGTGACAGAAAATAAAATATTGTGAATACACATGGATGCATTCCAGTATGATTCTTTATCACATTTTTTGTAGTTCTTTACTTTCAAAGAGAATATCAGTATTTATTCATAACTTTAAAAACCAACTCACATCAATATCAGTATAGCAATGTTCGTACACATAAGGATGACCTCACAGTTTACAAAGGATCTTTAATATGCATGTTTGCACTTAATCCCCACAACCATCTTGAAGGTGGCAATTTTAAAAAATGATAAGCAATAAACACAAATTCATCAGAACATTATTTATGAAACATACATCCATATCACACTTTTGGTCTACTTTGCTATCCAATAGTAATGCCTCAAGTGTAATGACTAACTGTTAAAATGTTGGAAAAATAAGTTTTAAAATCACTTGAGAAAGTATATTTCTAGTCCTAAACAACAACAACAACAACAAAGAAGCTTCAAAAAGTTTTATGCTGTCTCCACCTCAAGAGGTCTTTCAAGGTGGGAGTATAGCAGAGTCAAGATCACTGGCTTTGGGAGCTTACATTTTGGTTCCCATCAATTCCTAAGATGCATGGCCATGGAAAAATTTTTTAATCTCCCTCTCTCCCTGAACCACAGTCTCCTCATCTGTAAATTGAGAGTGGTAATATCTTTTAACATGCTATCAGAATACATGATATGTTTGAATGACTTAGGAAAAACATGAGAAATATACATATTACTCCTAATTTACCATGCAATGTCCGGTATGCAGAAAGCTCTGTGGAAATATACAGCTATTCCAATTGGGCTAAGAGCAACAATTTGTCCCACTGCAATAATTAAAATAAATCTTTTTTGAAAAATTTTACTGGCTAAAAGGAAAAATATAAATTTTCCAATTAAATGAACATGTAAGCTTAAAAATTTCCTTTGAAGAAAATCAAAATATTACTCCCTTCTAAAAAGAAAAGTGCACCATTGGTATTTTTACATGTCACATCAGTATTTTTAACCATTGAACAAAGCTATATACAATTCTGTACAGATCAGCAAGTATTAAGTTGTGCTTTTAAGTCAAGCTCCTATAGAAGTATGTACTATCACTGTTGGTTATAATTTGAGGATATATTTATAAATATATGTTCCAAAGCATGATTTTATTTTTCCCCATAGGTTTCATAAAGAGGGAATTAGAAAATAACTGATGATAATTGATGATTTAGAATACATCCATAGAAGAAGTGAAGTAGTGTTACATTTATACAAAAAGATTATTGGGAAGGAGCTCAGGCTTGCCTTTTGGAAAAGTTTCAGTGACTGAGAAAGAAACACCATTTGGATAAAAGAAATTGGGAAGCAGAGAAACCTGAAGGAAGGTGGAGAAATGAGGCAAGAAAAACCTGGATCTACTACCTCTCTGCAGAGCTAGAAAGAGCTCCTGAAAGAATATGTAAAGTTAGAGACTTGGCATCTCTGTGGCTTTAGAGAACTAACAGAATAATTCGTAGTTTGACTTTAGCTATTCTCTGTCCTTCAGGGGCACCTCAAACTTGAGCCACTCAAATTTCTCTCAAAATATTACCTAGTCACTTCGAAAAAATTCAAAAACACATAAGGAAACTGGAATTCCCATTAAGTCTCCCATCAAACATAGTTTTCATCACAAGAAAGAATCCAGAATAAAAAAATAATAGCTAGGTCTAAACTACAATAAAAATATTTATTTTAAAGAGTGAAATTATATACATGTATATATATATATATGTACACATGAACACAACTCTTCTTGTTCTTAAACATCCATTTGTACAGTGAAAGTAAACATAAATTTAAACAAGAAAAAGCTAAACAGAAATTGAACCACCTTTAAAAATATCAATTTCAAATCTTATAATCGAATACATGTTCAATTATTTAACATAAATTTACTTACTCTAGGAATTCAGTAACATATTTCCGACTACAGTTTGACCAGCTCCAAGGACTCATGTGAAAACTTAAAGCAGGGGCCATTACATGATACTTTGTAACTTTCATTTCTTTACATCTAGGATTATCATCATGTTGAACACCAAGTCTAAAAATAAAAATAAACACTTAAAAGGAATATCAAAAGATGCTTACGATATTAGTAATAGATCCTTTATAGTCACATTATAATACAATATAAAATATAGATAAATCTGGTTATATCATAATTTGAACTCCATCTATCCATAAGGCCTTAACAGTGTTCATGTTTAGAAGTACCTGATGACTGAGAAATATTATAGGCTGGTGATCTGGCATCTGAATCTACACAATCAAAATATTTGGACTCTGTTGCACCTCATCACAATATGGACCACAGCATTGACATAAAAGTGCCTGCAGGTTCAACATGGATATCCCATGTTGTGGATAGAGAAGTGTGTGGATAGAGATTAGGTAAAGGTAATACCACACTAAATTCTAGACCATTGACTATGGCTACAATATCACAAGAACTTCGTGAATCCCCAATTCTCACCATTCTACAGTATCCATCTATTTTATATGAAAGACCCTAAATACTATTTTAGGTCCATACTTCCTAAGTGATGCCCAACAGAACTAGAATAATAAAAACATTCCTAAAGGGCAGTCACATCTTCATGACTTAATTATTAAGTAATTAGCAGGTTGGCAGCAGATCCTATACAATTTGGGGGGAACTCAAGTATAAGCTCAAGTTTAGAAGGAACACTGAAACCACTTAATTCAGATCCTTGCCTGCTAAAATTTGTATTTAAACAATCTTTTAAATTAAACAACTTACCCATATACTAGAGACACCTAAAGAGTTTCTCAGGAAGAAAACAAATATCTAAGATAGTACTCTCTGCAAAAATCGTCTTCTACTGGTTAGTAGCCTTGAAAACCAGCACATAGTGCCACCCAGATGTTGCCGCAATACTTCTACTGTCCTCAGATATTCTGTTCATCCTATCCCCCGACTTCATAAACAACTTACAAAATAAAGTGTGTAGCTTGTTGATGATTATGAGATATAACCATGCAAAAAGGGAACTGAAGAGATGATCGTTTACTAAAAATTATCTCCATTTGAAATTATTATTCCCCTTGAATGTTCTAATGATTTCTCAAGGCATGACTAGGAAATTAAATGTGGTCAAACTAACAGAGGCAACTCTAGACTCAGGTCCTTATTAGCAGATAACAAAGAAACACCAGGAGTTCTGAGGGGTACATTTAGAATCTTTTTTCAGAGGATACATTTGTAGGGGTTTCTGATTTTCCATGGGAGCTCCAAGGGTATCATGAGAAATCACGGCCTCTATTCTTACAACACAGAACCCCAGCATATTTTTCAGTAATACAGGAAAAGGTAAGAGAATCCCAAATTTTTATGAGCAACTATGGAAAAAGTGAATACTTTAAAAAAAATCTTTTAGTAACTAAGAAATTCCCATGGGCAATATCCTCTGTTGGGGCACATTACTGAGAGCAAGAAATGAGTTGGTATTACAAATATTTGGGGGAGTCCCCCAGAACCAGGAGCCCATGCAGGCCCTCCCATAAAATGGTAGAGGACAGTACCTGGTCATATATAGGATAACAAGAGACAGAGGCCAGAAGTGCTTGTCATGTATCCAATACAGTAAAGGAAATAAAAGAACTCCCAAGTTCTAGTTCTTTGCTTAGTCTGTTGATCTGTGCAGCCTGTCTGACCTAACATAGATCACAAAAGAGCCAGAGTTAGCATTTCAGGGAAGAAAATTACACTAATAACATTTTATGAAGAAACAAAGGTACTAATTACTCAACTGAAGATAGAATTTCAGGCATTCTGTGCAAAGATAAATAGAATGCACATTAAGGAGGTGACAGAAGGTACTTACGTGTGCCCAAGCTCATGGGCTATAGTAAAAGCAGAAATGAGTCCTTTTTCTTCATTAATAAAGCAGCTTTGTAAAGGATCACATATGGTACCTAAATATGATAAACCTGAAAAATTTCACATTTGTATTTCATCAAAATGGAAAACACTACCAAAATCATAAAGAACTTAATTTTGAAGCATTTAACCATTGATGTTATTACTTAGAAAAGAATGCAGAATTGGCTGTTAATATTGAATAAACGTTTTAAAAGGTGAAAAAGAGAATGGAATGATTTATTTGCAGTTGAAATCATCTTTGCAAATTTTGGGAATCTACTGAAGTAAATAATCCAAAATGTAGAGTGAGCAAACAACTTTTTAAATATTTTTAAAAAATTTTTAAAAAGAAAAGAATATTTGCAGGAAGTATGAAGTGTTTTAACACATTAGCGTGGGTAGCAGGAAAGAGATTAAATGTGTTGATTGGTAATAGAAAAGCTAATAAGAGAAAAAAATGGCACAGAACTCTACAAATCTATGAAGTTTCTTTACTTTTTTAAGGTTTAAAGCAGTATACAAATATTCAATTATCACATGACATGAGTAAAAAATAAGTGGTCAGAATAATGTCTGGCATTTAATATATGTTAAATAAAATAAAACGAGTTTATAATATAAGAATTACTGCCGTCACTGAATAATTTTGTAACATTTCCGCAATAGGAAATGTATTGCAAATCAGGATATATTTAGTTCTATGTAAAGAATAACATGCAACTCAAATGTGCTGTTGAAAGATGAAGGTATGAACTGGCTGGACACCAAAGACAGCAATAATTATCATATATGCAGTCCTCTAAAAATAATATAGGATAAGAAACTCAAAATAAATATTCATTACAACAATCCATACTTCACCACCAATCATGTTAGTTTTTCATTTACTTATTTTTTAGCTTAACATAATCCCATGATTTTGCTATTATTACCCTTCAATTTGGTTGTAAATTTATCTGCTTTCCTAGAACTCTTCCTTTCACAAAAAAAAGATTTTTTCATAGATAATCAGTTTCTTACTGTAAAGCTTTTGCATTTAGAAATGTCTTAATATAGAATAAACAGACTTCATTAGCTCCTAGTTTAGCTCTTCCCTGCTATGTCATCTTTTATTCTTAGGAGTTAAAAACTTGAACATCTTCCTAGCATTTAAGGTAGATGTCCTAACAACTAGAATGTTTTTGTTGTGCTTTAAGAGAAATGGAAGTTAAACTGAGGAATCCAAATAAGCTGGGGAAAAGCCAAAAGATGAAGAAGTTCATTAGCCAATACTTTTTAATAAAAAGGAAAGATTTGCTCTCTTTCTGACCACACCATCAAAAGGTCTTGCTTCGGCAAGGTCCCTCCAGAAAACGAGCTTTTTCCTTACAAGGAAGACTAAAATCAAGCAAGGAAAAAAATTAAAAAGAACAAAAAAATTATTTCTCTGTAGAGAAATTATTTCCTCTGTAGAGTGTGAGGGAATTACTGGTTTCCTTAAGATTCTACAATTCATGCTTGCATGTTCAGTTGTTTAGTGGATCATCATCTTATTATATGTTTCTCTTTTGTCAGGATAAGTTTAAGGGAAACGCATTTCTTTCATGGACATCCTACAGTAGGATTTATTAGTATTTTCAATTTGCCAAATTACACAATTCCAATATTTTCATTTTTAGCACTATGCAGATATTTGGAACACATTATTGAGTCCATTACCAACCAAACTTTATGTTTCATGCTTAAAGGTATATACATTTTAAACTGAACATTTTAGTCACATAAGAGATTTGTAAAAATATGTATCAAATATGATTAGAGACCAAGCTCAAATATTCCCGTAAGCAGGCAACACCTACAAAACTCAAAGTAAATGGTTAATATTATGGAAACATGCCGCTGGTTGATGGTTTGTGTCTAGACTCATTCAAGCTAATTCTGGGTTCTCTAAAAGTTTAAAGATAGAATAAGGCAGCATGGGCCCAAGCTTGATACAGGTTCCCTGTGTTTGGAAATACAAGAAGCTGCATACAGCCACCCAATCTAGCCATCCTGAAGAATGAAAATCATTCTGCAACATATTTTGCAAAACATGGTCAGGGACTGAGGCAACAATAAACGTAAATGGAGATATAACAGAAAATCTAGTAATTACTACCAACATTTTGTGTTTATTATTAAGAACTCTCCTTAGTTTGTTATTTTCACATATTTCAGATGAGAAAATAAAATACTAACATTTGCATTAATATAAGCTGTGTGGTCTTCTGCAAATTATTCATCCTCATCTATAAAATTAGAATAAGAGTTGTTCAGATATAGTATCTCATAGGAAGCATTCAAATACCTTAACTATCGGGGAGGAGCCAAGATGGCCGAATAGGAACAGCTCCGGTCTACAGCTCCCAGCGTGAGCGACGCAGAAGACGGGTGATTTCTGCATTTCCATCTGAGGTACCGGGTTCATCTCACTAGGGAGTGCCAGACAGTGGGCGCAGGCCAGTGGGTGCACGCACCGTGCGAGAGCCGAAGCAGGGCGAGGCATTGCCTCACCTGGGAAGCGCAAGGGGTCAGGGAGTTCCCTTTCCGAGTCAAAGAAAGGGGTGACGGACGCACCTGGAAAATCGGGTCGCTCCCACCCGAATATTGCGCTTTTCAGACCGGCTTAAAACACGGCGCACCACGGGACTATATCCCACACCTGGCTCGGAGGGTCCTACGCCCACGGAGTCTCGCTGTTTGCTAGCACAGCAGTCTGAGATCAAACTGCAAGGCGGCAGCGAGGCTGGGGGAGGGGCGCCCGCCATTGCCCAGGCTTGCTTAGGTAAACAAAGGAGCCAGGAAGCTCGAACTGGGTGGAGCCCACCACAGCTCAAGGAGGCCTGCCTGCCTCTGTAGGCTCCACCTCTGGGGGCAGGGCACAGACAAACAAAAAGACAGCAGTAACCTCTGCAGACTTAAATGTCCCTGTCTGACAGCTTTGAAGAGAGCAGTGGTTCTCCCAGCACGCAGCTGGAGATCTGAGAACAGGCAGACTGCCTCCTCAAGTGGGTCCCTGACCCCTGACCCCCGAGCAGCCTAACTGGGAGGCACCCCCCAGCAGGGGCACACTGACACCTCACATGGCAGGGTATTCCAACAGACCTGCAGCTGAGGGTCCTGTCTGTTAGAAGGAAAACTAACAAACAGAAAGGACATCCACACCGAAAACCCATCTGTACATCACCATCATCAAAGACCAAAAGTAGATAAAACCACAAAGATGGGGAAAAAACAGAACAGAAAAACTGGAAACTCTAAAACGCAGAGCGCCTCTCCTCCTCCAAAGGAACGCAGTTCCTCACCAGCAACGGAACAAAGCTGGATGGAGAATGACTTTGACGAGCTGAGAGAAGAAGGCTTCAGAAAATCAAATTACTCTGAGCTACGGGAGGACATTCAAACCAAAGGCAGAGAAGTTGAAAACTTTGAAAAAAATTTAGAAGAATGTATAACTAGAATAACCAATACAGAGAAGTGCTTAAAGGAGCTGATGGAGCTGAAAACCAAGGCTCGAGAACTACGTGAAGAATGCAGAAGCCTCAGGAGCCGATGCGATCAACTGGAAGAAAGGGTATCAGTGATGGAAGATGAAATGAATGAAATGAAGTGAGAAGGGAAGTTTACAGAAAAAAGAATGAAAAGAAATGAGCAAAGCCTCCAAGAAATATGGGACTATGTGAAAAGACCAAATCTACGTCTGATTGGTGTACCTGAAAGTGATGCGGAGAATGGAACCAAGTTGGAAAACACTCTGCAGGATATTATCCAGGAGAACTTCCCCAATCTAGCAAGGCAGGCCAACGTTCAGATTCAGGAAATACAGAGAACGCCACAAAGATACTCCTCGAGAAGAGCAACTCCAAGACACATAATTGTCAGATTCACCAAAGTTGAAATGAAGGAAAAAATGTGAAGGGCAGCCAGAGAGAAAAGTCGGGTTACCCTCAAAGGGAAGCCCATCAGACTAACAGCGGATCTCTCGGCAGAAACCCTACAAGCCAGAAGAGAGTGGGGGCCAATATTCAACATTCTTAAAGAAAAGAATTTTCAAGCCAGAATTTCATATCCAGCCAAACTAAGCTTCATAAGTGAAGGAGAAATAAAATACTTTACAAACAAGCAAATGCTGAGAGATTTTGTCACCACCAAGCCTGCCCTAAAAGAGCTCCTGAAGGAAGCGCTAAACATGGAAAGGAACAACCGGTACCAGCCACTGCAAAATCATGCCAAAATGTAAAGACCATCGAGACTAGGAAGAAACTGCATCAACTAATGAGCAAAATCACCAGCTAACATCATAATGACAGGATCAAATTCACACATAACAATATTAACTTTAAATGTAAATGGACTAAATTCTCCAATTAAAAGACACAGACTGGCAAGTTGGATAAAGAGTCAAGACCCATCAGTGTGCTGTATTCAGGAAACCCATCTCACGTGCAGAGACACACATAGGCTCAAAATAAAAGGATGGAGGAAGATCTACCAAGCAAATGGAAAACAAAAAAAGGCAGGGGTTGCAATCCTAGTCTCTGATAAAACAGACTTTCAACCAACAAAGATCAAAAGAGACAAAGAAGGCCATTACATAATGGTAAAGGGATCAATTCAACAAGAGGAGCTAACTATCCTAAATATATATGCACCCAATACAGGAGCACCCAGATTCATAAAGCAAGTCCTGAGTGACCTACAAAGAGACTTAGACTCCCAAACATTAATAATGGGAGACTTTAACACCCCACTGTCAACATTAGACAAATCAACGAGACAGAAAGTCAACAAGGATACCCAGGAATTGAACTCAGCTCTGCACCAAGCAGACCTAATAGACATCTACAGAACTCTCCACCCCAAATCAACAGAATATACATTTTTTTCAGCACCACACCACACCTATTCCAAAATTGACCACATACTTGGAAGTAAAGCTCTCCTCAGCAAATGTAAAAGAACAGAAATTATAACAAACTATCTCTCAGACCACAGTGCAATCAAACTAGAACTCAGGATTAAGAATCTCACTCAAAGCCGCTCAACTACATGGAAACTGAACAACCTGCTCCTGAATGACTACTGGGTACATAACGAAATGAAGGCAGAAATAAAGATGTTCTTTGAAACCAACGAGAACAAAGACACAACATACCAGAATCTCTGGGACGCATTCAAAGCAGTGTGTAGAGGGAAATTTATAGCACTAAATGCCCACAAGAGAAAGCAGGAAAGATCCAAAATTGACACCCTAACATCACAATTAAAAGAACTAGAAAAGCAAGAGCAAACACATTCAAAAGCTAGCAGAAGGCAAGAAATAACTAAAATCAGAGCAGAACTGAAGGAAATAGAGACACAAAAAACCCTTCAAAAAATCAATGAATCCAGGAAGCTGGTTTTTTGAAAGGATCAACAAAATTGATAGACCGCTAGCAAGACTAATAAAGAAAAAAAGAGAGCAGAATCAAATAGACACAATAAAAAATGATAAAGGGGATATCACCACTGATCCCACAGAAATACAAACTACCATCAGAGAATACTACAAACACCTCTACGCAAATAAACTAGAAAATCTAGAAGAAATGGATACATTCCTCGACACATACACTCTCCCAAGACTAAACCAGGAAGAAGTTGAATCTCTGAATAGACCAATAACAGGAGCTGAAATTGTGGCAATAATCAATAGTTTACCAACCAAAAAGAGTCCAGGACCAGATGGATTCACAGCCGAATTCTACCAAAGGTACAAGGAGGAACTGGTACCATTCCTTGTGAAACTATTCCAATCAATAGAAAAAGAGGGAATCCTCCCTAACTCATTTTATGAGGCCAGCATCATTCTGATACCAAAGCTGGGCAGAGACACAACCAAAAAAGAGAATTTTAGACCAATATCCTTGATGAACATTGATGCAAAAATCCTCAATAAAATACTGGCAAACCGAATCCAGCAGCACATCAAAAAGCTTATCCACCATGATCAAGTAGGCTTCATCCCTGGGATGCAAGGCTGGTTCAATATACGCAAATCAATAAATGTAATCCAGCATATAAACAGAGCCAAAGACAAAAACCACATGATTATCTCAATAGATGCAGAAAAAGCCTTTGACAAAATTCAACAACCCTTCATGCTAAAAACTCTCAATAAATTAGGTATTGATGGGACGTATTTCAAAATAATAAGAGCTATCTATGACAAACCCACAGCCAATATCATACTGAATGGGCAAAAACTGGAAGCATTCCCTTTGGAAACTGGCACAAGACAGGGATGCCCTCTCTCACCACTCCTATTCAACATAGTGTTGGAAGTTCTGGCCAGGGCAATCAGGCAGGAGAAGGAAATAAAGGGTATTCAATTAGGAAAAGAGGAAGTCAAATTGTCCCTGTGTGCAGACAACATGATTGTTTATCTAGAAAACCCCATCGTCTCAGCCCAAAATCTCCTTAAGCTGATAAGCAACTTCAGCAAAGTCTCAGGATACAAAATCAATGTACAAAAATCACAAGCATTCTTATACACCAACAACAGACAAACAGAGAGCCAAATCATGAGTGAACTCCCATTCACAATTGCTTCAAAGAGAATAAAATACCTAGGAATCCAACTTACAAGGGATGTGAAGGACCTCTTCAAGGAGAACTACAAACCACTGCTCAAGGAAATAAAAGAGGATACAAACAAATGGAAGAACATTCCATGCTCATGGGTAGGAAGAGTCAATATCGTGAAAATGGCCATACTGCCCAAGGTAATTTACAGATTCAATGCCATCCCCATCAAGCTACCAATGCCTTTCTTCACAGAATTGGAAAAAACTACTTTAAAGTTCATATGGAACCAAAAAAGAGCCCGCATCGCCAAGTCAATCCTAAGCCAAAAGAACAAAGCTGGAGGCATCATCACACTACCTGACTTCAAACCATACTACAAGGCTACAGTAACCAAAACCGCATGGTACTGGTACCAAAACAGAGATATAGATCAATGGAACAGAACAGAGCCCTCAGAAATAACGCCGCATACCTACAACTATCTGATCTTTGACAAACCTGAGAAAAACAAGCAATGGGGAAAGGATTCCCTATTTAATAAATGGTGCTGGGAAAACTTGCTAGCCATATGTAGAAAGCTAAAACTGGATCCCTTCCTTACACCTTATACAAAAATCAATTTAAGATGGATTAAAGATTTAAACGTTAGACCTAAAACCATAAAAACCCTAGAAGAAAACCTAGGCATTACCATTCAGGACATAGGCATGGGCAAGGACTTCATGTCCAAAACACCAAAAGCAATGGCAACAAAAGCCAAAATTGACAAATGGGATCTAAATAAACTAAAGAGCTTCTGCACAGCAAAAGAAACTACCATCAGAGTGAACAGGCAACCTACAACATGGGAGAAAATTTTCACAACCTACTCATCTGACAAAGGGCTAATATCCAGAATCTACAATGAACTCAAACAAATTTACAAGAAAAAAACAAACAACCCCATCAAAAAGTGGGCAAAGGAAATGAACAGACACTTCTCAAAAGAAGACATTTATGCAGCCAAAAAACACATGAAAAAATGCTCATCATCACTGGTCATCAGAGAAATGCAAATCAAAACCACTATGAGATATCATCTCACACCAGTTAGAATGGCAATCATTAAAAAGTCAGGAAACAACAGGTGCTGGAGAGGATGTGGAGAAATAGGAACACTTTTACACTGTTGGTGGGACTGTAAACTAGTTCAACCATTGTGGAAGTCAGTGTGGCGATTCCTCAGGGATCTAGAACTAGAAATACCATTTGACCCAGCCATCCCATTACTGGGTACATACCCAAAGGACTATAAATCATGCTGCTATAAAGACACATGCACACGTATGTTTATTGCGGCATTATTCACAATAGCAAAGACTTGGAACCAACCCAAATGTCCAACAATGATAGACTGGATTAAGAAAATGTGGCACATATACACCATGGAATACTATGCAGCCATAAAAAATGATGAGTTCATATCCTTTGTAGGGACATGGATGAAATTGGAAATCATCATTCTCAGTAAACTATCACAAGAACAAAAAACCAAACACCGTATATTCTCACTCATAGGTGGGAATTGAACAATGAGATCAGCTGGACACATGAAGGGGAATACCACACTCTGGGGACTGTGGTGGGGTGGGTGGAGGGGGGAGGGATAGCATTGGGAGATATACCTAAGGCTAGATGACGAGTTAGTGGGTGCAGCACACCAGCATGGCACATGTATACATATGTAACTAACCTGCACAATGTGCACATGTACCCTAAAACTTAAAGTATAAAAAAAAAAAAAAAAGTGTCAGACATGATACAAGATGATTTAAATAAAAGACCTCTAAATAAAAAAAAAAAAAAAACAATTACCTTAACTATCATTATAATCATTACTCTTGACTTAAGGGATAATAATGCTTTCATCATCACATTATACGTTTCTAAATGTCATTATAATTTATGTACACAGGAGTGGCAGAAAGCTATAAAACCATAATTGGGGACTAGAAGACCAACAATTTCTATAGGAATAGTCCAGAATGTCTAGCATTCAAGCACTAAAAAAATAGTAAGAAATGACAGATACTCAGTAAAAGTTCATACTACTTAAGTTTAAAGATGGGACAACAGGGTATAGATAATGCAAGAAATATATTCAGTAGATTCTTATTAAGTGATCTCATAAAATACTCTTAACAAACCCAGAGAATAGTTTGTAGGGAGGAAGAAATTCAGTCTGTTGTAAAAATTAGAGCAACAAGTGCCTATTTCTACAAGTGTGGAAGACTGGCATTTCCAAAGAACCCCTTAACATAAAGAAACTAGATATTTAATAAAAACTAGGTTTTAATGAAAGCCTAGCTCACATGACTAGTGAGGACTATCAAGTCCAAACCTCAGTGATTTAGCACACATATGCACTCTCTCTCTCTTCTTTGTCTCTTTCTTTCTCTCTCTCTCTCTCAATACACAAGCATGCAGGCATATGTACACACATATACACACATTCATACTTTTCAAATTCTAGGCGGTAAGCAATGAATAATAAGGATAGATGCTATTCTGAGGGCAAATACTGATAAAAGTAATATGGTCCAAAGAGTAAGAGCTTGCTAGAGGAAGCTTCAAGGTGCATGTGGATGTTGAGTTTTCTTCATTAAGCCAGGGACTCAAGTTATGAACACCCTTTGGACTCCAACAAGAAATAAAAATCTCTAGAAGAAAGCACACACTTTTTGAGCTAGCAATTTTTCAACCCCATGGCTTAATATTAAATAAATATAAGCTCAAAATCAAAGACCATCAAACAAACAAATAAATAAGAGAACATACGTAAAAGAAGAAATAAGATGTATGGCTATCATGTATTTCAGATATGTGAATTTTCAGATACGTAATATAAAATTATTCCACATAAGATGTTTAAGAAAATGAAATTCAATTAAAAACATGCACAAATATTTTTTAAATGTAAACAAAACGAACAGGTAGATTTTTAATAAGAACTAAGTAGTATCTTTTACATTGAAAAATATATATATTTTAAAATGTAAAATGTGAAGGATGGGTGAAATACCAGATTAGACATAGCTAAAGAGAGAGCCAAATATACTAATTTATATTAGTAAAATGGAAATTAGAGCTGCTTGAATGAAGCACGAAGAGAAAAAAAATGAAAGCACAGACAGCAGAATGAGAAGATCTAATACAGATGTAGTAGAATCCCACGGTGAAAACAGATAAAATAATAGGATAAAATTTGAAAGAAAAAAATGAAAATTTTCCAAAATTGCTGGAAGATAAACAGTAGATATAGGACTCATGACATAGCCCAAGCAGGATAAATAAAAAGAAACATACCTATATTAGGATGAAGTTTTAATGAAACTGCTTTATATTCAAGACAAAGAGAGGATCTTATAAAAGACAGATCACCAAAAAATCTACAACTAAACCCACTACAGATTTCTCAATAGCAAAAGGCAGGCACAACACAATCATATATTCAAGATATTGAGAGAAAATAACTGTCAACCTAGAATTGGTAACTAGAAAAATATATTTTGAAAATAAGAGTATTTGCCTGTTAAATCAGGAAAAAACTGAAACCTATGAGTTATTTTAGTAAATTACTGAATTAGAAAGAGTGGGTTGTGAGAATCCCTGACTTTGCAGCTAACTCAGACAGATGTGTAGGTACCCTGGGCACCTCATACTTGCAACTGGTGCCTGAAGTAAGGACGGTTTTATAGGACTGAGCGCTTAAACCTGCGGAGTCTGGCACAAACTCAGGGTAGTTAAGTATCAGAAATGAACTGAATTGTAGAGTATTTAGTGTCTGGAGAGTTGAAGAACTGGTTGTTGATGTGGAAAGAACCCATACATTTATTATGAGTGACAACAGCTCAGACACACCAACTCTATTTTTTCTTTAAAAAGCATTATCAGAGATAAAGAGAGTCACTACACAGTTGTAAAAGGTTCTATTCACTAAACTATGTATCTAATAAGTTAGCCTTAAGCTAGACGAGGTAACTAATTGTAAAATTATATGAAGAAAGTGATAGAGATATACTTCATGTTTCAATTAGTAATGTAATTAGTAAATAAATAGTTGATTTGAACTACACAATTAGCAAATTTGATTTAATAGACAAATACAGAACTCAAAGAATATACATTCTTTTAAAGTATACATGGAGTATTTTCTTAAATTGGCTACATAATAGATCATAAAGGAAATATCAAGATTGCAAAGAATATCAATAGATCACATTCTCTAACTGCAATAAAATTAAGTTGTAAGTCAATAAATAAAAATAACAAGTCTCCACACATTCATAAATATTTAAATGCATTTTTATGTAATTCATGAAGCAGCAAATAAATCATGATGGAATTTAAATATGATTTACATACATTTAGAATTTTTAATGACATGGAAAATACCAATAAAAACTTATGGGACACAAAAAAGTGATACCTTAAAGTAAATTGATAGTCTCAAATAATAAAATTAGAAAAGAAGAAATCCTGGACATTAATCAGTTAAGCAATCAACTTACAAATAGAACAGCAGGAGTAAATTGAAAAACAAAGCTACAAGAAAGACAACAAAGAGCAGACATTCATGAAATAAAAATAAGACACAAAAAGCAAATAGTTGGTTCATTAAAAAGACAAATAAACAATATTTCAGTGAATTGACCTATTAAAAAAGAGAGGCACAAACAATATCAGAAATAAATTGAGACACAACTAGAGTGAGAAAGCTTAAAACAATAAGAAAATGCTATGAAAATCATTTAAGCTAATAAATGTTACTAGTAAAAGAAATAGTCAAATATCTAGAAAGAATAACTTTTCAAATATATTTAAGAAGACATAAATAAAATCTGATTTCCACTGGAGAAACTCCATAAATGGTTAACCTTCCGCAAAGTAAATCTTCTAGACTTGGGGAAAAAATAATACACCTTAACTCATTTTATAAGGTGAATGAAACCTTATAATCAAAATTAGAAAACTACACTAAAAGAGAGGAAAATTACAGGCCATCTTCACTCCTGAAAATATATGCATGAAATTAGCAAGTAGAATCTAGCAGTGTGTGGGGGGTAAAGAAGGAAGAGTCTTGTTCAAGGCTGGTTTACTGTTAGAAAAATCTATGCTGCAATAAACATGGAAGTGCAACTGTTTCTTCATCATACTGATTTCAGTTCCTTTCGATATATACCCAGGAGTGGGATTGCTATATCATATGGTAGTTCTATTTTCAGCTTTTTGAGAAATCTTCATACTATTTTCCATAATGGCTGTAGTAATTTACTTTACAGTATACAACATAAGTATACATCAATGCATAAGTAGATAAAGAAAATGTGGTATATATACATAATGGAACACAATTCAGCCTTTAAAGAAGAAGAACATTCTGTCATTTGCAACAGCATGGATGAATCTGTAGGACATTACGCTCAGTGAAATAAGCCAGGCATAGAAAGACAAATATCACATGATCTCATTTACATGGAATCTAAAAAAGTCGAACTCTGATAAGTAGAGAGAAGAATGGTGGTTTCCACATGCTGAGGGAGTGTGGGCAGATATTAGAGGTAGGGAATGGGGAAGTTCTTAGTCAAAGGGTACATAGTTTCAGTTAGACAGGAGAAATACGTTTTTGAGATCTATTGCACAGGAGGGTGACTATAGTTATAATAATGTATTATAATAACTAAGAAAGTATGTTTCAGATGTCTCACCAAAAAAAAGAATAAGATAATAGGTTTGTTAATTAGCTTGATTTAATCATTCCACATTGCCTACGTATATCAAAACACTACATTTTACCCCCAAAAATGTATATAATTATGATTTGTCAACTAAAAATAATATTAATTTTAAAATTCTATGGAATTCACCAGATTAACCCATTTATACAGGAGGTTGCACATTTTTTGTGTGTGAAAAATCAGACCTTGGTGATGACCTTGAGCAGTAGGATATAAATAACTTCCACAAGCTTAGCGTTCCAATAATGGAACACTAGGCCTAAATGGGTTAAGATGAAATAATCATATGATCATTTCACTATCTGCAGAAAAAACACTTAAGAAAATAAAACATGTATCATTTTTTAAAAGACTCAGAAAACAAGGATAATAAATTTATCTGCTAAGAACCTACAGCAAATATTTTTCTTAATGGTGCAACCTTAAAGTATTCCTTTTAAAATCCAGAAACGTCTCTTCATCATTCTATAAGAGATTTTTATCTTGCAGTAAGACAAGAAAAGAGTTATAAGGATTAAAGAAGAGGAAATATATTGCCATAATTCACAAATATAATTATTCACATAACAATCAAAAAGAATCTACAAGTGAAACTATGAGAATTAATTAAAGTGATGAATCAGGTGGCTGCATTTAAAAATCAACAAGCCAAATAATCTGTTGCATTTCTATGGACCGGCATCATAAAACATTTACTTTAACAATAGAAAATAAAAGTCATTTTTTTGTTTTATTTTTTTTCTCCAAGATGGCTAACTGGAGGTATTTTTGGCATGCCTCTCCCACCCGGAAAGACAAAATAGCGTGTGGAACTCACACTGTGAACTTTTTTCCAAGAAGCAACACAGGAACTTAACCGAAAAATGGAAAGAAACCACAGACCCTTTGAAGGAAGCAATGGGCAACAGCCTACATCATGAACCAGACGGAAAATGGAGCCTCCCAAGGGTGAATTGGGGAGAGCCTGCCACCGTGACACACACTCCCACTGGGAAGCCAGGAAATCCAGGCCATGGGGAGAAGGCGTTAACCCTACCCAGTGCTGCAGCTGATTTAGTGAGCAGCGGGGAATATATGAGAAGGAACGGCATCAGTGTGTACTCCCAGTCTCCAGCAGGGATGGAAGAAAGCCATTTCTGATCCATTCTCACAACGAACCTCGCAAAAGTTGGCCAGCTAATTCAGGCAGTGGTCACAGGTTGAGAGAAGCTCCCAAATGAGGTTTGCAATATAATCTCAAGTGGGAACGAACCTCGTTGGCCAGACCAGAGGAGCGAGCCTGAAGTGTGTTGTCACCACGGGGGCAGGAGCTGGACACCTTTGCTTCATGGGCAGACAGGAAAGGGTGTGGCGTGAAAGTCACTCCATCTCCATAGGGAAGGCTTATAGTCTGGGGAAGTTTCGAGTTCTGAAACAAGCTGCCTGAAACCCAGTTAGCTGCTGTTAGCAGATCACTGTGGGTGTAAGACTTGCCTTGCAAGAGTGTGGGAGCTGAGTGGGGCTTACTGCCACCTCCCAGTGTAGATTCTTTTGTGTAGCAGAGGCAGCTGTGCTCCTCCCCGGAACATTACTCCAGCAGCCAGGGAGCTGCCTTCTGCTTCCCACTGGGGCTGCTGCTTGTGCCTACATGTGGAGAGCCAGAGCACAGACTTGCCTGACCCATCCCCAACCTAGCTTTACCCCTCCACCTGCCCTGGTAGCATAACACAAAAGACAAGGACACTTGGGAGTTCCATGGCTCCACCCATTGCCTGAGACATCAGAGTACCTCCCCTGGGTAACATAAGGCAAGCACAAATTCCACTGCTACCACCATAACTGCTGTACTTTTGAAAGCACCATCTCCTGGCTGGTGTGCAACTGAACAGCCAGTTACAACATCTGTAGGTCAGATAACAGATTGTATCTTCTTCCTGGCTCAGGAAGGAGAAAACCTTTGCACAACCTCAGCTGTCACCACTGCCTGCATCAGCCTGGCTAACCAGGAGATCTTGAGTCTGTCCATGAGCCAGTATATCACTACTACAGCTGACATTTGAGAAAGCCAACACACTAAGGCTACTTATAATGAAAGAAATCTCAGAGTCTACGTCACTCCTCTTCCACCTCCATCAGAGCTGGTACTGGTACCTGCTACTGGGAAACTAGAGGACAGGTCACATCTCTGGATTCCTTGCAGACATTCCCCAGCACCAACCTGGGGTGTGGCAGCCTCACTGGGCAGCTAGACCCAAAGAAGCAGCAAGATTCACGGTAGCCTGGCTCTCAGGGACTGCTAATTCTAGGGGGAAGGGGAGTGTTCCATATTAAGGAAGCACCCTGTGGGACAAAAGAAACCAGACTGGAGGCCATGAGCCCCTGAATTTTCCACCTGTGGGGAGTTTCAGCAGAGGCATAGGTACAGTACTGAGCTCAAGAGTCAGGCAGCCCTGGTGCTCATGAAGGGTCTTAGAGAAGGGTACTTCTCCCCCTCACCATCTGTGGACAGCCTTACTGGAGTACTTCAGGGTGACAACATCCCCACAGGAGGAACACCCTCCAGGTCCAGGCTTGCACAAGAGGTAGAGTCACAACCCCTCTCTAAATGGAACATCAGCATTCCTAAAAATGAAATGAGGTGTTTGTCTGATCTGAATAACCAGAACATTGGGTTGGGAATGTGACTGGGTGGTGGATCGCTTTCCTGCTGGCTTGGAAGGAGAGTCACGGTGGCTCCTTCTCTTCCCCTTGAAAAGTCCTCAGTGCAGCTTCCCCAGCCTGCTCTGTCAAGGCTGAGATGTCTGCCCAACACTGGGGTATTGCATTTACTCACCTGCTTTAGCCGCAGCCAGTTTTTACCCATGGGTACCGCTTACTGGCCTGAAGCATGAACTATTCAATCCAGTGAATAAAGTAATTGGGATAAAACACTTTTTAAAGTGCACACCATGGGGCAACAAGATAAGTGTCATGAGACCTCTTCCATTCCAGCCACACAGGAGACAGTGAACCCATAGACCCACCACATCACTACGACTACCAGCATCTGAGAAACCCATTGCATGAAGATTTTCTATAATCAAGGAACTCATACTGAGTCCACCACTGAAAGCAGCCAGAACCAAAGCTAGGTGACAATAAACTATAAACATTAAAAGCACATCCTCAAGGGGGAAAAATGAAATTCTTAAAAAAACCCAGTTGAATCAAAAATAAATACAAAAATAATTAGAAGACATAGTCTACCCAAATGAGAAGGAACCAGAAAAATAATTCTGGCAATATTAAAAACAGGGTTCTGTGACATCCCCAAAAGATTATACTAACTCTCCAGAAGTGGGTGTAAGCCAAAATGAAATCTTTGAAATACCAGATAAAGAATCCAAAAGGTTGATTATTAAGTAACTCAAGGAGATACAATAGAGAGGTGAAAAACAAATAGGATTTTTAAAGAATTCAGGATATAAATTAAAAATGTTCTAAAGAGATATTTTAAATAAAAAAACAATCAGAACTTCTGGAAATGAAAGACACATTTACGAAACTAGAAAATGCAGTGCAAATTT
Source organism: Homo sapiens (assembly GCF_000001405.40). Classification (NCBI taxonomy): domain Eukaryota; kingdom Metazoa; phylum Chordata; class Mammalia; order Primates; family Hominidae; genus Homo; species Homo sapiens. The sequence goes on from NC_000012.12 coordinate 43,484,545, forward strand.
TAACAATAGACTAGAAGGAGTCTAACAACAGACTAGAAGAGATAATTTCAGAGCTCAAAGACAAGACTTTCAAATTAACCCAATCAGACAATTTTTTTAAAAAAGAATGAAAAGAAATGAACAAAGTCTCCAAGAAATATGAGATTATGTAAAATGGCCAAACCTAGGAATTATAGGTGTTCCTAAGAGAGAAGAAAAATCAAAAAGTTTGTAAAATCTATTTGAGGGAATAACTGAGGAAAACTTCTCTGGCCTTGCTAGAGATTTAGACATTCAGATACATTCAGACATTCAGAAGCTCAAAGAACTCCTGAGAAAATCATTGCAAAAAGGATATCACCAAGGCTTACAGTCATCAGGCTATCTAAAGTCAACATGTAGGAAAGAACCTCAGGGCCAGACGGATTCACTACTGAATTCGATCAGACATTCAAACAAGAATTAGTATCAATTCTACTAAAACTGTTCCAAAAGATGGAGGAGGGAATCCTCCTTAACTAATTTTATAAAGCCAGTATTTCCCTGATACCAGTCAAGAAAGGACGTAGCCAAAAAAAAAAAAAAAAAGCAACAACAACAACAACAAAACCACTACTGAACAATATCCCTGATGAATATAGGTAGAAAAATCCTCAACAAAATACTAGCAAACTGAAGAGTGCATCGAAAACATAATTCACCATGATCAAAGAAGTTTAATTCTAAGAATGCAGGGATGGTTCAACATAAACAAGTCAATAAATGTGATTCATCACATAAACAATTAAAAACAAGAACTATATGATCATATCAATAGATTCAGAAAAAGAACTTGATAAAATCCAACATCCCTTTATGATAAAAATCCTCAAACTAGGCATAGAAAGAACATATCTCAAAATAATAAAAGCCATATATGACAAACCCACAGCCACTATCATATTGAACAGGGAAAAGCTGAAAGCATTCTCCCTGAGAAGTGGAACAAGACAAAGATGCCCACTTTCACTACTTCTATTCAACATATTACTAGAAGTCTTAGCCAGAGCAATCAGGCAAGAGAAAGAAATAAAGGGCATCCAAATTGGAAAAGTGGAAGTCAAACTATCTCTGTTCACTGATTATATGATTGTATACCTAGACCATCTTACAGACTCCTCCAAAAGACTCCTAGATCTGATAAATGAATTCAGTAAAGTCTTAGGTTCCCAAATCAACATACACAAATCAGTATCACTGCTATACACCAAAAACAATCAAGCAGAGAATCAAATCAAGAACTCAATCCCTTTTACAACAGCTGCAAAAAATAAAATAAAATACCTAGGAATACACTTAACCAAGGAGGTGGAAAATCGCAACAAGGAGAACTATAAAACACTGCTGAAAGAAAACATAGATGAATAATAAATGAAACAAACAGAAATACATCCCATGCTTGTGGACTGGAAAAATCAATATCATTGAAAATGACCATATTGCCAAAAAATCTACACATTCAATGCATTTCTATCAAAATATCAATATCATTTTTCAAAGAATTATAAAACAACAATTATAAAATTCATATAGAACCAAACAGGAACCCAGTAGCTAAGGCAATCCTAAGCAAAAAGAATAAACCTGGAAGCAACACATACCCAACTTCAAACTATACTACAAGGCTATAGTAACCAAAACGGTATGGTACTGGTATAAAAGCAGACACATAGATCAATGGAACAGAATAGAAGACCCACAAATAAAGCCAAATACTTACAACTAACTGATTTTTGACAAAGCATACAAAAATATAAATTGGGGAAAGAATACCCTATTTAATAAATGGTGGTGGGAAAGTTGGATAGCCACATGTAGAAGAATGAAACTGTATCCCTATATTTCACCTTATACAAAAATCAACTCAAGATGGATTAAATACTTAAATCTAAGACTTGAAACCATAAAAATTCTAGAAGAAAACCTAGGAAAAACTCTTCTGGACATTGGCCTAGGCAAAGAATTTATGACTAAGACCCCAAAAGCAAATGCAACAAAAACAAAAATAAATAAATGGAATCTGATTAAATTCAAAAGCTTCTGCACAGCAAAAGAAATAATCATCAGAGTAAAAAGACAATGCAGAGTGGGAGAAAATATTTGCAAACGATGCATGTGACAAAGGACTAATATCCAGAATCTACAAGATACTCAAACAAATCGGCAAGAAAACAAATAATCCCATTAAAAAGTGAGCAAAGGACATGAACAGACATTTCTCAAAGGAGATGTACAATTGGCCAACAAACATATGAAAAAATGCTCATCATTACTAATCATCAGGAAAATGCAAATTAAAACTACAATGAGATACCATCTTACCACAACCAGAAAGGCCATTATTATAAAGTCAAACAACAACAGATATTGGCATAGATGTGGTAAAAAAGAAATGCAAGTACACTGCTGATAACAATGTAAGTTAGTATAACCTCTGTGGAAAATAGTATGAAGATTTCTCAAAGAACTAAAAATAGATCTACCATTTGATCCAGTAATCCCACTACTGGGTATTTACCCAAAGGAACAGAAGTCACTATATCAAAAAGACACCTGCACACATATGCTATCTCAGCACAATTCACAACTGCAAAAATACCTAACTATCCATCAACTGATGAGTGGGCAAAGAAAATGTGGTATGTATACACCATGGATTACTACTCAGACACACACACAAAAACAATGAAATAATGTCCTTTGTAGCAATTTGGATGGAACTGGAGGCATTACTCTAAGTGAAGTTACTCAAGAATCAAAAACCAAATACTGCATGTTCTCACTTATAAGTGAAAACTAAGCTATGGGTATGCAAAGGCATACAGAGTGGCACAATGGACACTGGAAGCTCGGAAGAGGGAAGAGTGGGAGGGTGGGAGGGGGGTGAGGAGTGAAAAACTACCTATTAGGTACAATGTACACTACTCAAGTGATGGGTGCACGAAAATCTTAAGACTTCACCACTATATAATTAATCCATGTAACCAAAAACCACTTGTATCCATGAAACTATTGAAATAAAAAAATTAATAAATTAAAAAATTAAAGTCTAGCAACAGTTGTACATGACACATTGAAAGAAAATAATTTATTATTGAATGACATTTTAAAAGTCTTACCTAAACAGACAGATAAATGTTTTGAGAACTTGACATGCTGATTCTAAAACTTCCACAGATGAACAAAAGTCCAAAAATAGCCAAAATATTCTTGAAGAAAAGAAGCTGGTGGTATATACCCCACTGATTAATATTTATTATAGAACTATAAAAATGAAAATATTATGGAACTGATGCATGGATAAATAGCAAATATGGTCCCATAAAATGGTGGCATGATGTTGCAGACTCAAGTGCATACCGAAATTTTATATATGACATTTCAGATTCTAAGAAAAAGAGAGGAATTATTCAATGTATAGTTTGGGGAATTGATTATTCAAATAAAAAAGGATTATGAATGTAATTTCACAGTGAACTTCAAAGCAGTTGTTTATTTTGAGGGTTAGAAGAAGAGTTTTTTTGTTTTTGTGTTGTTGTTTTTAAATCAGGTACAACTGATTTTTTAGAGTGGTTCAATTTGGGGAGTTGAGCGAGGGAAGAAAAGATGTTAAAAAGTAATGTTTAGATGAAAACAAAAGGTATGGATGTGGTTATAGAGTTCAGGTTTAACAGGGAAAATTTTTGGCTTTTTTTAAACTTATGTGTTATATGGTTAACCATCGAGGGGTATGACAAGTTATTCCAGCTTTTCCAAATATTAATTATATTGGTTTTAAGAAGTCTCCATAATCACAGGTGGCATTTTCCCTTCATCTGTGGGAGTAGATGATGCAACCCACACAGTGACTTCGAACTTCTTTGATAGAATTTCCACTGCCTTGTTGAATTTCTCACTGTATCGCATGTCTTGCCAAGTGTGAAATAATGAGTTTATGAAAACTTCAAAACTACACATCATTTTGCATGAATAATACCCATTCGAGCTAAGGAGACTGACATGTTTTGTAGCATTTCCGGGTAAATGAAAATTTTATTGGCATTCACCATTTACTAGCTTTGTACAATATTATAAAGGTAGAAGCAAAACAGCAGCACATTGTGCTTGGCTTATAAGGATTGCTTTAGCACCATTACGTTAAATAAACAATGTGCATAGTGTATTGTAAGTGCCTACTCTTGCAAATTTACAATACTTAAATATACTTAACATTCTAATGTATTAAAAGTATAAAGAAAAAACTAAACAGACATTTATAGCAATACTATGAAATCTCCAATAATTGTTTTGACTGTTGCCTTTGGCTCTTTAGTGCAACTTTTCTACATTGTAATTACTATATTGTGTTGCTTTGTGTTTCCTATTTGTTATACATAACTTCAGAGTTAAGTACCAGTACACCAAGTACTGCAATTACCTTTCAGTTATTGTACGTGCAATGTAACAGCTTACAGTTTTGGTGCTTAATAATATTCCTTTTTTTCTTTAATAAAGGATATTTATTTGAATTTTTTAAAGGAATAAAACTAAATGTCTACCTAATATGATGTCAAAAAAAATTACCCCAATGGATTAGAGATTTAAATGTTAAAGGACAAATTTTAAAATATTTACAAGAAAACAGGATAATATGTTTAGACCTTGAGTTACACAATGGTTTCTTAAAGAAGAAACAAAAAAGCTAACTCTAAAAGAATAGGTTTATAAATTCAGCTACATTTTATATTTTCACACATAAAAGAATGAAAACAAACCAACAAACTGCTAAAAGATGTTTGTAATATGTATAAACCACAAAGGATTTGGTGTCAGGAAGTTATCAAGAATACCTGAAAAGCAGTAAGAAAGCAACAAATACCACACCACAAATATGGGCAATGTTTCTTTCATTGATTTCATTCCTTACAGAAAAAGAAATACAAATATATGAAAAGATGCTTGAATTCATTAGCAATCAGTGAAAAGAAAATTCTAATGGTAATAAAATATATTACATTTAGACTAAAAAAAAGAAATCTGAAGATACCCAGTATTTATAAAGATATAATCAAAAGGAATGTTTATTGATAAATGTAAAAATTGGTATAACCCCTTTAGAAAATAATTTGTTATATCTTATAAATGTGAATATTAGCTCACTTAATGGCACAGGCATCTTAATCCTAGGGATATACCCTAGCTCTTCCAGTGAAGTTCATGACACAAAAAAGTAGAATCAGCCCAAATACACACTAATATGATATAGATATATAAACTGTAGATGAAATATATAACAGTGAAAATGCATGAACTTTGACTACAGAATTCAAAAATAAGCAAAAGTGATTTTTGTTTAGGAACACATATATATGTAATAAAAGCAAATAGTTTTTGTTTAGGAACATACATATGTAATAAAACTATTTTTCAAGAGACAGAAGGAATTGGTAAATACAAAATTCATGCTATTGGCTACCTCATGGGGAAAAGTAGAGTGATGGAAAATGACTGAGCATAGACCAAGCAATAGTAGTGGCAAAGTTCTAACCTAAATCTAATGGTGAATTCATGGCTATTCATTTTATTATTTCCCTTTAAATTGGCATATAGGTGATTACGTATTATTTCTCATGCACAGCATTTGATATTGAGTAATTTGCAAATAAATGTTAGTTCTTATCATTTTGTAAAATTTACAGCAGCAGAATGAAATAAGTGACAAGTGTAATAATTTATCAAGATAATTAATCAAAATTACTAAAATGTAAAATAAATGGAAAATAGCCTAAACATTATTGTAAATAATTCAATAAACAATTACATAAGCTAAACTTAATTGACAAAATAACTTACCTAACATGTTACATTTCTCTTTAGATGAACAAATGTCTTCCCTTAAAATAAAAGATTTATTTTGAAGCATTTTTGGAAAATATTTTTGCAACAAGCCAAAATAAAAATAAAGAAGCTTTAACTATGACATGACTACTACCACAAACTAACTTCTAAAATCTAGTTCACATTAACCTCTCAAAAAGTCTAAACCTAGAGTAATGCACCATTTGTCCACATCAATAAGCAATACGTACTATAAAATCAGTGTTGTAAATAGTTGAATCATTAACCAAGTTCAATGAAAAACTTTCTATTTTAAATGTCTCTGCTTTTACTTACACAGTATATGTAATATAGTTTACCCTCATGATGATTCAATGTCATCATCAGCTTCAGTTATCATTCTCTCATGCAAAATAATGGTGTTCTCAGATGTTACGAAGTTGATAAATTTTTTTTGCTTCTGCATTACTTAGTCCATGGCCATTCAATTTGACAGTTCTCGTGTCTCCTTTCTTATCACCTCTTTCTCATAGCCCTTTCTTCCTCCCATATTTAATCTGCTATCTCCAATCTCTCCTGCTTGGCTTTTAACTACAATCCAAGGAAGAACCATGGACTATATATAACATAATACTATGTATAAAATTAAATCAATTCTACTTTAGTTTTGAAAAGAGATTAAAGTACAGTCATGCACTGCATAACATGTTTCAGTCAACAATGGACTGCATATATGACATCGGTCCTATAAGATTATAATACCATATTTATACTACACCTTTTCTATGTTTAGATAGGTTTAGATACACAAATGTTTACCATTGTGTTACAAATGTCTGTAGCATTCAGTACAGTAACATACTGTACAGGTTTGTAGCCTAGGGCCAGTAGGCTATACCATATTGCCTTGGTGTGTAGTAGACTACACCATCCAGGTTTGCATAAGTACACTCTATTATGTTTGCATAAAGACTAAATCGCCTAATGATGCATTTCTTGGAATGTGTCCCCGTCATTAAGCAACACATAATTGTACATGAACTACATGTTAGCTATATTACATTGGCTGAAGTTTTTCATTTCAGGATTCTAGAAAGCTGAGATTTCTTTTGAGTTTGATGCCTAAATAAAGGATTTCTTTGGTTAGTCAACCAAATATCAAACCTAGGATTTATATATTCTGGTAGTATCACTGTTGCTGAAAGAAAGGTGTAAATTAACAATGTATAGCATTGCTTGTAAAATGAATAATAATTTTATAACAGCAGAAGCTGTTTTTCATATAAATAAGTAGGTTTGAGAACAACCCTAGCAAAGGTAGCCTGGTAATTAAGGCAGGCATTAAGCATCAAAACGAGGAACAGATAAACAGATTTTTAAAAGGAAAGGGAGTCCAAAAAGTGGACAAACGAAAGAAGAACAAAGTTGCTCTTCTTTCCAAGCAACTGAAATACCAAGAAGGGAATGAACAAAACCTGCTCTCAGTTCCATAACTATGTTAATTTCTTAATTCTCTCATTCTGTCACTAATATCGTAAGGAAATTGTCTTGTTTAGATCAAACCATTACTCAGCAACCTGACATTGCTAATTTCCTAGAGAACTAACTAGTATTCTGGTTTGAAAGAATAGAAGAATGCTTTTATTCGATAGTTTCTTTTGTAATACAAATTCTTATAGAACACTTCTGTGTATTATTAACAAAGAATTAAGAAGAAGTGGCCGGGCGCGGTGGCTCACGCCTGTAATCCCAACACTTTGGGAGGCCGAGGTGGGTGGATCACGAGGTCAGGAGATCGAGACCATCCTGGCTAACACGGTGAAACCCCGTCTCTACTAAAAATACAAAAAATTAGCCGGGCGTGGTGGCGGGCGCCTGTAGTCCCAGCTACTTGGGAGGCTGAGGCAGGAGAATGGCGTGAACCCAGGAGGCGGAGCTTGCAGTGAGCCGAGATCGCGCCACTGCACTCCACCCTGGGCGACAGAGCGAGACTCTGTCTCAAAAAAAAAAGAAAAAGAAAAAGAAAAACAAAAACAAAACAAAAAAAAGAATTAAGAAGAAGTATCAGTCATGCAGGAGGGAAGAGTAAAGGATTGTATGGGAAGGGTTATTTCTATAATCATACCTAGTGATAAGAACAGCAGTGTCATGGTGGGAAGGGTGAACATCATCAAGGTCATTCTGAGTTTGTTGCCATGAACAAAAGTTCTTTAATGTGGTAGCACCATCAAAATTAATGACTGGTCCTTCCTATGCAAAATAAGCAATGCAATACTATGTCAAAATATTAACGTCCTCTTTTCCTTCCAAGTTTATCAGCATCTGCACAATTTATCAAATAGCATTCTCACAGGTGAATGAAGGAGTGACAGCATCTCTTCTTCATATATTAACTATAACGTATTTTAGCAATATCTAAAACATTATGATCAAAACTGAATCTAATTAGATCTTCTTAATACAACCATCCAATATTTAGGAAAAAAACTTTTAAAAACGACTATATTCTAAATCCTCTGACATTAGGATTATAAAAATGAATACTAAGGTTTTCAATATTTTATTTTTGAATTGTTTATTCACTTTTGTTACTTCCTTTACTCAGTTAAACACTGTTGTCATTCTATTTTATTTCCATCACAACAAATAAGGGTAATCTCATTCCTTCTCAAATCAAGTCTTTTAAAATTTTAAAAATATCTCATTTCTAATAAGAGTTCCATAATCTCTACGTATTGTCACTAAAAACTTACTACAACTAAGGTTACTAATTTTAGACCTGTTTCTTACCTCCTCACGGTGAATCATAACTAATTTTACCACTACTATGTGTATCAAATTTCCAATACTTGGATCTTTGTAGATTGTTGCAACCTGCATGTAAAAAAAATGTAGGATTAGTTGTTTAAAATGAATATTTCTTCTCAAAAGTAAGTTGAAATAGTCACAGAGTATCAATTCTCTAATTGCACTGCACGTAGGAATCTTGGAATCTCTTAGAGTGCTTTAACAAATCCTCATGTTCAGACCACATCCCTTACCAAATAAATCAGAATCTGCAGGATTGAGACTCAGGCATCTTAAAGATTCTCAAAATTTGAGTATCTTAAACCTTGCTACTGAGACTGATCCATGGATCAGCAGCATCCACATAACCTAGAGCTGATATGAAACACAGAATCTCAGGCCCCACCCTGGATTAATGATTCAGAGTCTGCACTTTAACAAGATGTCAAGTGATCTGAACACATGTTAGAGTTTGGAACTGCTGTTATGGATGATTCAGCAAGAAATTCACTTCATTCTGTGGCATAATCCACAATTTACATGACTACAATATTCCATAAAAATATGTAAGTTTTACCTATTCTTTTCTGATAGTTCACCTAATCTTTCGGCCACAGTTGCATATTTCCAACTCCAAATATGGTTATTATTTTTAAAGTTTAGCATCACCAGAATCCATAGAGGCAGATCCATCTAGAATCATATAAACAGCCCTAGAAGAGGTCATGAGTCACAACCTGGTCCTCAATTTTCCAGGATTGGAGAATGTTAGGCACTCTGAATGGGCTCTGCATGGGCTCATTTATGATTCATGATCAAAGTGCCATCCCATTCGCTAATTCATATTCTCTTCTTGTAGCCATTATAGAGGTTGCCACTGCAGTAGGGGTGTCTTCCATGGCCAATGCCTCTGCCTGGTACTTAATTAGAGGCATATCCCACTCTGGATCTGGGCTACCTGTGCAATGAAATCTGCTTCTAAACCCTAGATCACCTTCTTGTTGGCCACTGCCTAAGTCAAGGCAGCAATTGCTCCAGGGTGTGCTACTTCCCTCAGTTGTTTAATAAAGAAATGTTCAGTATCTACTCATTGCTTTGTTGGCTAGAGAAGCAGATATAGATAAGAGGACAAAGGCCCTGACCTTATGAAGCTTACAGTTTGTTAGAAGTATCACTACCGGAGCCCTCACTCTATCAAAGCTGCTTCACCACAACATATAACATGACTGCTACCAATGTCTCTTGTGCCAAAAGGACTACTACCAGAACTAGAGCCAAAAGCATCTTTAGAGCTGCTGACACTGTAGGGTCAGCATGAGCATAAATACATAATCCAGCATCTTTACTACTGTTATAGCTGTGCAGCCTCAAATATTTACAGGTTTGTCATCTGTACCTATAGTGATGACTTTGGCTCTGGTGGTAGCATGTTTTGGCAAGAGTGGAGGTAGCCCCAGTGGGGTTGACAGTAAGTTAAGACTGGGATGGTCAGCTGATTGGTGATTTCAAGCAGGTCTGTTAGCAATGCAGTATTTCTCACTTTAAAATAGGAGCTGTGAATTTACAGTTGAATTTATATATTCATTTTACAGGCAATGTTTTAAAATACATCTACCATGGAGAAAAAAAAAGCACACCTGTAATTATGATTTTGGAGTTACTTTGATCCTGTGAGTTTAAAAGTGGATGCTTTTCTAAGTCAAATTACAAGGTAAAAGACAAACCTCAAAGGTATTTATAAAAGCTCTTTTTCCCCTATAAATGAAAAACAGCTGTGAAGACTTCTGTGTCTCAGAATAATATGCATATCCAGTGGTCCACAGAAAAAAGAGCATATGCACTATGAGGTGTCTACATGGCTAACTACTATATCCATTGTCCCAAGTATTTTGACTATGAATGAAAATCTGGATGTTATAATATCAGCTATAAAATATATAATCACAAAAATATTTCCAGTTTCGGAAGGAAACAGATGCTGCACCTTTATTTAAAAGTGACAAATCTGCAAGCTAGAATTTGGAAAAAAATTCCCAATATTCTGATAGTATAATTAAAATATATTACTACAGCAAAATATCCTTGAATGTAACACTAAGGAAAAGATAATGCAAACAATTGTTATGCAAGGTGGATAGTGGCTATAAAACATAGTTATTTAAGGGAAACAGACACAGGTTCCAATTCTAAGAGCCATTTGATAAAACCTACTTCTAGGCTACTATAAGGATTAAATGAGATGGTCTGCAAATAGTATTTAGATTAGAGCCAGGATCATAGGGATCAATCACAGTGGCTATTGTTCTTATTGCTACTTATAAAGCTTTTTCAGAAGAAAAGGCATAATACAGATATAGATATACATAATGCTAGTTCTAGTACATGTGTTTCAAGTTAATTATCACAGTATGTCTAAATTGGAAGCAAAGTATCCAAAAGCATGATTGCTTTATTATCTCTTTTAGTACTTACTGAATATCTATTGCCCATCAAACCCTGTGTTGCTTACTAAATATACAGAGCCAAACAAGGCATAATCTCTGCCCTTAACTCACAGTCCTCTGGGGGTAAAAGATACAAAAACAGATGGTTTGATTTAAATAATTTTTACTTCCCCCAAAGAAAGTGATATTTTGCTTTTACACTAAAATAGTATATTTCATTAAATAATTAAGGATGTCATCATGCTCATTTTTTCTAATTGTATCTCTTATTGTTTTACTGACCTTTATAATTTAAGTGCTCATATAGGATATACGTATACCTTTAACTATATTTAGATGTTTAAAGGTGATGTTATTGAACAACTCTATTCAATAAAGCTAAATTGTGATTCAAGCAATGAATAGCCACAAGGCCCATTTGGTACTCAGAGAATTTTTGAAGCAGTATGTACAATGCACTTCTCTCCTTCCTAAAACTACCACCCCAAATTAGATTGCCTTGATGATAGGATACTACGTTTGCTATAAATAATAAATGAGTAAATATTAAATGATACATAAAATATTTATTCAATGTTTATTGTGTGCCAGATGTGTTCAAGTTTAAATGTATTAATTCATTTAATTATCACAACAAATCTTATGAGATAGGAACTATTATAGTGTCCATTTTACAGATAAGAACAGTAAGATACAGAGAAGTTAACTAAGACACTGAAAGTTAGGCAGCTGGTAGCAAACAGAACCCAATTTTCATTCTGTACAGTCTGGCTTTAGAGCACTGACTACTTTATCTGATCTTTATTCAGCATTCTGAACCAATTAGTTCTTGGTACAAAACATTTGAAGACATTTCAAAACCCTGCTGCAACACATCCCCCGGCCACTGGTATTGTCCTGTTATAGTCACTTGCCCGTGGCCTCAGAGAAGCCCTAGGCAGTCAGCAGACCTGGTCTTTAGTTCCAGCTCTAAACAAGTAGCTACAAGCTAGTTGTTCAACCCTGGAAAATGAGTTGATTTTTTTTGTCTTAATGTCTTTAATATCCATGTTGAGGCACTGGGTACCCTTGGGTCACAATGTCCTTGCATATTGGATTAATATTAACCAGGTGCTGTTGGGAAGAGTTGTGAAAGACATTTGTTTTAAAGAACAAAATCATTCCACAGTTTGAGAAATGAGCTAAAATAATTAGATATCTTCATGGAATCTTGAATAGGCTAACACACATACACACACACACATACACATATTAAATCTATGAGACAGAGATATTATATACAGCATTTCATGCAACTATATGACCGTAGTCCTTAGCCCCCCGACCATGGAGCGTATCATAGGACTAATATTCCATTCCATAGACTACACTTTAGGAAACACCAGACCAGATTTCTAACGTATCATCCTATTCTAAAAGCCTTGTAATATTTTCAATATATTACCTTAATCACTACATTTTAGAGTGCTATGTATTCGAATTTTTATTGATCTACTTAAAATGTATTTAATCTTTCATTCCTTAAATGTTAGTTTCCTTCACTTAAGTAGTTCTGACTTGTTTATAGGTTTCATAAAATAGTAAATATTATTCTTTCATGGATATTTAATGAAAGGTGAAGAAGAAATGGTATGAATTGTATTGTTGAAATCTTTAAGAAAATTCTAGGCAAAATATACTTCATACAAAGCATGAAACAAATTGCTATCACCATTAACTTACCAACCATTTTGAAAATAATTTCTAGATAGAGCTTTAGCAAACATTCACATATGGTATGTTCATAGGCCACCTTCATTAAGAAGTACAAAGTCATCTATAAAAAACTGATTTTGACAAACAAATTTTGTTTACAAAGATCATTACTCTTTACTTCTTTGGAAAGATCTTTTCATTTTTAAATTGAAAATGATGAAATTCTACATACATACAAAGCGAATATGTGCAAATAATTAAGAATATGCAGAGCACTAAATTGAAGGGAAAAGTAATATAAATGGTTATACCTGAAGTATGAAAGCATATCATTAGTTTTTATTTTAATATAGTTAAAAATCTTCCCCATCCTAATAACGTCAGTAAAAGCAACTAACAAGATTGAAAGTAATGGTATAAAATCAATGTAATGCAAATGAGGGTTTTTAGTTGATATATGCCTCTAATAATAGTAACCATAATTTAATGAAAGGGTTAATTCTTGAGGATTACATGATGCTCCTTAAACTTACATTATTAAATCTGCAACAGGATGAATATTATAGAGTCAAACCCTTACAAACACAATGAAGTGTGGAAGTCTTTAATACTTAGTAAATATTTAAGGTCTATTAAATAACAAATTGAGTATCAAAATAAATATACTGAAGAAAAAACTGCTCTAGTTTACATACATTTTTAGTAGCTTAATAATGCATATATATATGCCATTTTAACCTGGTGTTGTCACCCAAATTCCCTATGAATAAAGGTTTTAGAATAACAGCTGAGTATCTCTGCTCATTTAACACAAACACTATTTCACTAGATATATTAGTGTGTTCTTCTCCACTAATTTTAATGTTAATTCCAGAAACCTTTAAGTAAGAAGGGTCTCTAGCCTATTCTAACAACATTAAGTGCAACTAAAAAGTGAATCAAGTCACATTCTTTATTTCAATATCACTGCACTCAGGTATTTCGTTAAATTGTTGAAAGCAAAGAAAAAGTTTAAGAAGACAGCACAATTGTTTACTTCGTGCAGGATGAGTAAGGATAGATAATCCAAGTTGTGTATATAATCCATTTGCTCAATCCTGAAAGCATTCCCCTATTTCCCCCTTTATATTTGGAGCTCAACAGACAAAAATTATTTTTTCATCACTTTGAACTTGTCTTTATCATATACCAAGCCTATGTCACATTGTCTTGACCTTTTCCTAAATTACCGTGACAGAATATCACCAATAATCCATGTGTATGTTTGAATAAATGCAGTTAGTGCCTTCTAAAAACTGGAAAAAGTATGCAAAACCTGAACAGCTCCTTCCTAAACTAGAAATATCTGTGGACACTTATGTGCAAATAGCATTTCTCTTACCCCTTTAAAGCGGTTTTTGAAATGGTCTTAACAAGTAACAATAAAACAAGTTGGACTGGATTTGATCGCTACACAGTGTGATCAACAGTCCCAGTTTGCTCAGGACTGAAGGGTTTCCAAGGACATGAGACTCAATACCAAAACTGATCAAGTTCCAGGTAAAACAGGGAGAGTTTGTCACCCTTTCTCTTAAGTTCCCTTTCACCTTTAATATTTTTGCAACCATAAATATAGTTGTGATCACTGTTTTTTAACCAATAAAACAACAATTTATGTACAGAACCATAGGGTCTACTAATTTTCCTATGTCCTCACTTGAACATTCTTTCAGTGAGAGAGAAGAAAAGCACTAAACCCAGGTAGCTTAGAAGTCATCTGAAATTGGGCTTCTTAGGAAGAAAGAAAGCATATACAAAAACTCAAAGTATCTCAAAAGGGAGACTTACCCTCCTTAATTTTTCCTCCTACCCCACTTATATTTGGAATGCACACCTTTTCCTCAACTTTGCTGCATCTATCTCCCTAAGAACAAAAGCTTAACACAAACCAGATGACTGCGTCTATAAAAATTCTGTCTTCAACAGAAACCTGCTCTCTTTCTACTAGGCCTAAAAATCCAGAAAATGATAAGCACATGCATTGGTCTGTTGTTTCAAGCAATCTCAGATGCAGATTTGCTTTCCATGAAGTCAAAAGGTCTGTCTCCATTCCCTTCAATTAACTCTGGCTTTAAACCTTCCATGGAGAACTTTAGTTATCTCAAAGTATGTCACAATATCTTCTAACAGTGATGATACTGATTTTTTTTTTTTTTTTTTTTTTAGATGGAGTCTTGCTCTGTCACCAGGCTGCAGTGCAGTGGCACGATCTCGGCTGGGAACCGAGATTCCCAGTGGCAACCTCTGATTCCCAGGTTCAAGCAATTCTCCTGCCTCAGCCTCCCGAGTAGCTGGGATTATAGGCACACGCCACCATGCCCAGCTAATTTTTGTGTTTTCAGTAGAGACAGGGTTTCACCATGTTGGCCAGGATGGTCTCTATCTCTTGACCTCATGATCCACCCACCTTGGCCTCCCAAAGTGCTGGGATTACAGGCGTGAGCCATGGCGCCTGGCCAATACTGATTTTTATGTAAAATATAGATAACAAAACCTTTCTGAGGGTGGTGATGTCACCAAGAATGCATGAAACTATTCCAAAATTGGTCCTGTGTTTATTCCTTTATTCCTTCTAGTCAGTATGCCCAAAGCACTGACAATAGTTATCTGTCATTTACCATGTTTTAAAATCTATCAAATCTAGTATTTTCCTTCAGTATCTCTCCCACCCAACTTTCTTTCCTTATTGCTTTTTTTTTTTTGAGAGAGAGTCTCAGTCTGTCGGCCAGACTGGAGTGCAGTGGCATGATCGCGGCTCACTGCAACCTCCATCTCCTGGGCTCAAGCGATTCTCCAGCCTCAGCCTCCCAAGTAGCTGGGATTACAGGCATGTGCCACCACGCCTGGCTAATTTTTGTATTTTTAGTAGAGACATGGTTTCACTATGTTGGCCAGACTGGTCTCGAACTCCTGACCTCAGGTAATCTGCATGCCTCGGCCTCTCAAAGTGGTGCGATTACAGGCGTGAGCCACTACGCCGAGCCCCAACTTTCTTAATGAATGTCATCTCCTTTAACCATTTTCTATTGCAAAGTATATCCCATTGTTCCATATAATTGATACAATCTTGTACATATCAACTGACATCCTCCACACCATAGTTTTCATTAGAATCCCTTCATAATTTAGAGTTTGCCATACCAACATTTAGATAATTATTCATCTAGGTAATATATGTAGGTAATTTTACTTCAAATTCAGAATTTAAAAAAAGTAATTAGGATAAATTTCTATCTATACTTCTGTTGTCATTTTAAAAAATTCAATTGAAGTAAACAAAATAAGGGTAAATTTTACACAATTTCAAAAAATCATTTTATATATTTGTTTTTATTTATCACAATGCACTGAATTCTGAAAAAATATTACTTTTATTAATACTTTAACCATGTCTCCATTCATTCTTTCAGTAACTATTTATTGAGTACCCACACTGTATCATATACTGTGTTTAGGCAACGTAGACTATGGTATAACAATAAGAATTTAAGGTAAAATGTCATATTTTAGAAAAATGATTGTCTCTTATGATCTTCATGTCACAATGAACTGGGATCTAGCTAAGGGAAATTTACAATATCCTATAGATATGCCCTTGCTAAGTCTTTTCAACCAAGTGGGCCTGAATTCCCTATATGTGAATAGAAGTACTTCCAGCAATGAGATATGTTCCAAATACACTGAATCTATAAATAGGTGGCTATGTAATTCTTTTTTTTTTTTTTTTTTTTGAGTCATAGTTTCACTCTTGTTGCGCAGGCTGGAGTGCAATGGCACGATCTCGGCTCACTGCAACCTCTGCCTCCCGGGTTCAAGCGATTCTCCTGCCACAGCCTCCCGAGTAGCTGGGATTATAGGCATTCACCACCACGCCTGGCTAATTTTTTGTATTTTTAGTAGAGATGATGTTTCACTATGTTGGCTAGGCTGGTCTTGAACTTCCGACCTCAGGTGATCCTCCCGCCTCAGCCTCCCAAAGTGCTGGGATTACAAGTGTGAGCTACCACACCTGGCCAGTAATTCATCAACTAAACTAGCATGAAAAGGGCTACCCTTAGTGATTACTCTAAAATAACAGGCCTAATTCAGGAATGTCCCAGGGTGGTGGAGGGGGATACGCGCGCGCGCGCGCGCGCGCACACACACACACACACACACATGTAAGGATGAAGCGTGATGCCACTTACACAGGATTGACACCCTTCACTAGCTCTAGAATTCAGTTCTGTGGGTACTAGCACTACCACTGCTTGACAAAGATAGTAACATCAGATCAAGGACCCTTAGAGTTATCGTGACCTTATATTCCAAATTTGTTAGGACTGTTGCATTAGTAATAATCTATCCCTTTAACGCCATAAATACATGTATAACTTAAAATATTAAGCGTCCAAATTTCTGATTTGGAGAATATAGCCATAATAAAAATAGTATCTTCTCCCCTCTGTGCAGAAATAGGGTAAGGTTTTAAAATTCAGTTTCAAAGAGCAAAAAGATCAATGCAACTAGGATAGTCCTGTCACTAGAGGGCAGAAGCCATTCATGTGAGAAAGTAAAGAATAATTCAAGCATTTTCTATAAGAGGTTTTGGGGATTTTTAAATGTTTTAGAAAGGTGTCCAAGTAACAGAATAGGATACTTGCTATAACTCTATCTAAACTAAACTTCAATGAAATCTTATTTTTGGCTTAAACCTAGATACAAAATTACATCTAAAGAGTTTGGAAAAAAAATTTAATTCGACATGAAAAAATTTCATTAAGCTAAACATTTTAGGAAATATAAAAGTCATATTAAGTTTACTTACAATTGACATTAGAGTCAGTATATAGTTTTGCAAATTCGATCCATGAGCAGAAACCACTTTAGCATCAGCTGTAACCATAATTTCAATGTATCTTGGATATGATATAAGACGTTTTTTCCTGGAATGTCTTCTTTCATCTTTCAATGGTACATTTTTTGATGTGTGTCCTAAAACTCTTTCTTTCATTACATTAAGATCTTCATTCATGTTGCTGTAGGTATGAAAGGGTAAACTGGTTTCCTTTATTTGACTTTCTAGGGAGAAAAAAAGAATATAATGCAGAGCCATTAAATTGGATGTGACGAAAAATATCGCAAAAAATAGAACAGCCAAAAATATTTAATACTTACATATCTGTTCCCAACATGAAAATAAAAGAACAAAGAGAAATTGTTATTTAAAATAGTATTGTACAGCATTATCATGAAGATTGCTTTTTATAGTAATAAAAAGTTTGCAAAAGTTCACATTTTCTTAGATTTTACCAACAAGAAATTTTATCTAAGTCATATTTGAAAAGGAAGGTATGACGATTCAAAAGCATTTATTAACTACCAAGTAGAAAATAAAAATATCCAGGACTTCTTATGTTTTTCTCAGCATGTAAATTAGGTTTTCAAGTCAACAATGACATTTAATCTCATTACAGAGTAGTACCATTTTGTAGGGTGAAACTTCATAAAATATAGAAAAAAACAAACTTTCTTTATACTACATGCGAAAAGCACCAAGAACAACAGAAAATTAAGCAAAATAACAATATGTGGGTGAATCTATTGAATCCAGAAAGGCAAATGTTCCTATAAATTTTTTAGTACTTGATTATATAAAATACCTGATTTATTATGTTTGCTTATATATAAATACTGCATGAAAAATAATTGAACATTAAAGATTATTACAGTGAAGTAATATGCATTTAAGTCCTACGCACTTACAGAAACTTACACATTTATGCCTGTGCGTTTAAATCTTAATTAATTGCCCTAATGGAAAAAAAAATTCATAGGCTGCACAGGTGCTTGTCCTATTTCTCTCCCCTTCATTTTGTTCCTCTCCTTTCCTCTTTACTTCTTCCTTTTTTCTTGGCTAATTTTTCTGACAATTGTTTGGTGGTGGTATTTTCAATAGAAAAGCGGACCAAAGGAGTCAAGTGAGAAGAAATAAAGGTCCTGGATAGTTTAGAAACCAAGTAATCAATACCAAAATAATCAATAACCAAGACATGGCTGTATTATAAGAATTAGATATAAATATAAAAACATATTTCATTATTATTAAAATAATTCATTTTAAGTACGAATGTAATCCTATGGCTGTAAGAAAGAAACAGAACACTTTAGACATTAAGTTTCCACAGATGAATTTTTTTTAATTAATATAAAAAATTTTATTCGTCTTATTCTTTTTTTTCTATTTAATTTTTATTTTAGGTTCAGGCGTACATGTGCAGGTTTGTTCTGCAGGTAAACTCGTGTCATGGGAGTTTGGTGCACAGATTATTTCGTTACCCAGGTACTAAGTATGTTACCCCATATTTGTTTTTTTCTGATCCTCTCCCTCCTCCCACCATCCACCCTCAAGTAGGCCCAGGTGTCTTTTACTTGGTGTGTCTATGTATTCTTGTTATCTAGCTCCCACATACAAGTGAGAACATGCAGTATTTGGTTTTCTGTTCCTGCATTAGTTTGCTAAGGATAATGGCCTCTAGCTCCATTCATGTTGTTGAAAGAACATGATCTTATTCTTTTTATGACTACATAATATTCCATAGTATATATGTACCACCATTTTCTTTATCTAGTCTGTCACCGATGGGCATTTAGGTTGGTTCCATGTCTTTGTTACTTTAAATAGTGCTGCAGTGAACATACACATGCATGTGTCTTTATAGAACAATTTATATTCCTTTGGGTATATGCCCAATAATGGGGTTGCTGGGATGAATGCCAATTCTGTTTTTAGTTCTTTGAGGAATTGCCACACTGCTTTCCACAGTGGCTGAGCTAATTTACACTCCCACCAGCAGTGTGTAAACATTCCCCTTTCTCCACAACCTCATCAGCATCTATTATTTTTTTTATTTTTTAGCAATAGCCATTCTGACTGATGTGAGATGGTATCTCATCATGGTTCTGATGTGCATTTCTCTAACGATTAGTGATGTTGGGCATTTCTTCATATGTTTGTTGGCTACCTGTATGTCTTCTTTTGAAAAGTGTCTATGAACTTCTTTTTCTAATTCCTAAAAACATCTAGCTTTTAATATTGTTATGTTCCTAGGTTTTAAAATTTATCTCAGTGGAAAATTCTGGAAATTTGACAAATTGTGCAGTCCTAAAACTTTTTCTTGCCATTTTCTCCTGAAGTGACTTGGTCACTAAAATATCCATGACCAATTACTGGACCCTAGAGGAGATCCCAGATATACCTGATATATAGAAATCTCAATCAAGGAAAAGATAAATATTTATGCTTTGATTTATTTGTTAATTTAAAGGAAATATTGCATGTCTAATCCATATCAGGAAACATTTAGGTATTGAGGAGCAAATAGCACCTCATAAAG
Organism: Homo sapiens; assembly: GCF_000001405.40. Lineage (NCBI taxonomy): Eukaryota > Metazoa > Chordata > Mammalia > Primates > Hominidae > Homo > Homo sapiens. The sequence continues at coordinate 43,504,721 of NC_000012.12, forward strand.
CTTACACTCTAGTTGAAAGAGGCAAAAAATAAATTAACAACATAGTAAAGATAAAATTTCAGGTATCTTTAGGTGCTTCAATACCAATTCAACCAAGAGACAAAAAAAAATATGATTCTACCTACCAGAATGACTAAAATTACAAAGAGCAATAATACCTACTGGTACAATCACTTTGAAAACCAATCTGGCAAATTTTAAATTAGACATGCATCTACCCTATGACATTGCAGTTCCACCCCTAGGTATTTATCTAAGAGAAGGAAAATATACATTCACAAGAAAACTGGTATAAGTTCATAGCAAAACAAATATATAGACTGATGAACTGCAATAGAGACCCCAGATATAAACCCTTGTGTATATGATCAAATGATTTTTGACAAGAGTGCCAAGACCACTCAATATAGAAAGACTAACTCAAAATGAGTTACAAATCTAAAAGACCCAAGATATTAAAACTCCTAGAAGAAAACATAGAGAAAGTGTTTCATAACATTGGATTTGGCAGTGATTTATTGGATATGGCATCAAAAGCACAGGCAACAAAAGCAAAAATAGACAAATGGGACTACATCAAACTTAAAAAATTATTGTTCAAAGGACACAATCAACAAAGCAAAAAAGCAGCCTATGGATTAGGAGAAAATATTTACAAACTATATATCTGATAAGGAATTAATATCTAGAATATAAAAAAATTCCTGCAACTCAACAACAGGAAAACAAACAACCTGATTAAAAATGAGTAAAGACTTGCATAAACACTTTCCCAAATACATTATACAAATTATCAACACACATATGAAAAGATGCTCAGCACAATTAATCATTAAAGAAATGCAAATCAAAACCACAATATCACTTCACACCCATAAGAATGGCTACTATTAAACACACACAAAACAGAGAGAAAGAGAGAATAACAAATGTTGACAAGTATGTGGAGAAATTGGAAACCTTATGCACTGTTGGTAGTGTTGTAAAATGGTATAACCACTACGGAAAACAATATGGATGTTCCTTAAGAAATAAAAATAGAACTACCATATGATCCAGCAATCCTACTGGGGTAAATATCCAAAAACAATGAAAGCAGGGTCTTGAAGAGCTATTTGTACACCCAGGTTCATTGCAGTATTATTTACAATAGCTAAGAAGTAGAAGCAACCCAAATGTCCATTGACAAAGGAATGAATAAACAAAATGTAGTATACACATACAATGAAATATTATTCAGTATATAAAAGGAAAGAAGGCATGTGTGGTGGCATGCACCTGTAGTTCCAGCCACTCTGGAGGCTGAGGTGGGAGGATCACTTGAGCCTCCAAGTTTGAAGCTACAGTGAGCTATGATATACCACTGCACTCCAGCTTGGGTAAGAATGAGATTCCACCTCTAAAACAAACAAACAAAAACAACAACAACAACAACAACAAAGGAAGGACATGCTGTGACATATGACAACATGAATGAACCTTGAAGTTATCATGCTAAGTCAAATAAGCCAGTTTTTTTTTTTAAATCCTGTATGATATTACTTAAATGAGATACTTAAAATAGTAAAATTCACTGAAACAAAAAGTATACTGGTGGTTACCAGGGGATAGAGAAAGGGAAAATGGGGAGTTGTGAATGTATATAGTCTCAGTTTGCAAGATGAAAAAGTCCTGGAGATCTGTTGCATAACAATGTGAATATACTTAACACTACTGAAGTGCACACGTAAAAAGGGTTAAGATGGCAAACCTCATGTTACCTTTTTTTTTTTTTCTTTTTGAGGCAGAGTCTCGCCTCAGGCTGGATGGAGTGCAGTGGCGCGATCTCGGCTCACTGCAACCTCCGCTTCTCGGCTTCAAGCAATTCTCCTGCCTCGGCCTCCTGAGTAGCTGGGATAACAGGCGTGCGCCACCATGCCCAGCTAATTTTTGTATTTTTAGTAGAGATAGGATTTCACCATGTTGGTCAGGCTGGTCTCGATATCGTGACCTTGTGATCTGCCCGCCTCAGCCTCCCAAAGTGTTGGGATTACAGGCGTGAGCCACCGTGCCTGGCCACCTTTTTTTTTTTTTTTTTACCACAATTAAAAAATGTTTCAAAGAATGTTTATAGCACTTTTATTCATAATAGTAAAACCTAAAAACAACCCAAATGTCTGTCCACAGGAGAAAACTAGAAAGGACAAGAACTAAGTTTCACAAAGGGTAGAACAGTGGTTGTCAGGAGCTGGGGAGTGAGGGAAACGAGGAGAGGCTGGTCAGACATACAAACTTCTAGTTATAAGATGAATAATGTCTGGGAATTGAATGTACAGCATAGTGACTATAATTAATAATACTGTCTTATTTAATGGAAATTTGCTAAGAGAATAGCTTTTATGTGTTTTCACCACACACATACAAATTGGTAACTCTGTGAGGTGATGATGTGTTAATTTGATTGTGGTAATCATTTTGCATGTATACATATATCAATCATCATGATGTATACCTTGAATATATACAGTTTTTATCAATGAATTATACATCAATAAAGCTGGGGTGGGGGAAGTGATAATGAACAAAGCTTCAGCAAGAGATGCTTTCCTTGTCCATACGTGGCATCCTATTCTGGGAAAGGCTGACTATGCTAGCTGATGTAGCAGCACTGGATATGATTTGCAATGTGGGACTACAAGCGGCCCTCATCTAAGAAGAGAAAAGCCTTCTCCACACTCCTCAAAAGAAAGCATCCCTCTTGTCAAGTAATTTACCACTTGTCTCTAGCAGAAGAACAAATCCCATCTTATCTTCTACTGCCTGTTAATATCGCACTGCCTGCAGAATCTCCCAAAGTCTGTCTGGCCTAAGTGCTAAGAAATTATATATCTCAATGGCTAACAATAATAAGTAAAAAACAACACAATTCAATTAAGAAAGCACTATGGTTTGAAGAAATCAGGCTGACAGAGACTAAACTAGAATAGATGGTTTCTGTGCAAACTAAAATAATGAAAGACTGCCACATTATTCATAATCCTAAATGCCCATCGATGACAGAATGGATAAAGAAAACGTGGTATATATACACCATGGAATTCTATGCAGCCATAAAAAGGAACGAGGTATCTTTTGGAGGACATGGATGAAGCTGGAGGCCATTATCCTTAACAATCTAATGCAGGAATGGAAAACCAAATACTGCATGTTCTCACTTACAAGTGGAAGCTAAATGATGAGAACTCAAGTTCACAAAGAGTGGAACAACAGACACTAGGGCCTACTTGAGAGTGGAGGGTGAGAGGAGGGAGAGGAGCAGAAAAAAAATAATTATTGGGTACTGGGCTTAGTACCTGGGTGATGAAATAATCTGTTCGACAAACCCCTGTGACACAGGTTTACCTACATAACAAACTGGCACATGTACCCCAAACCTAAAATAAAAGCTAAAAAATAAAATAAAATGATGAAAGAAACAGTTTCTGTCTGAAATGAGAACACTGAAGGAGATGATAATTAGATCACAGAAAAAAAGTCTGCAATAAAAAAGCATAAATTTTTAAAGAATATTATTATCATTATCATTGAAACATTTAATAACACCAAATAAGATAGGTGCTATTGTTAATCTCATTTTACAGATGAGGAATCTACAACATACAGAGCTTAAGAAACTCACACAGTTGCTAAGTAATGGAGGTAGAAATAAAAACAAATAAAAGGAACAAAACTAAACAGATCATTTACCATGATAAAACTGAATGGGTTGAATTTGTCCACCAAAAAACAGAAACTTTATAGAAATGAGTTAATGAACAAAATCTAGCCATATGTTAACTAATCAGTAGCATGGCTGGGATTCAAATCCTGGGGACCTGGTTCAGAGTGTTTTCTTAATTAAAATTTTTTTATTATTAAAAAATATTTTGTAGGTACATAGCAGGTATATATATTTATGGGGTACATGAGATATTTTGATAGAGGCATATAGTACATAATAACATCAGGGTAAATGGGGTATAAATCATCTCAAGCATTTCTCCTTTCCTTGTGTTGCAAATAATCCAATTATACTCTTTTAGTTATTTTGAAATGTACAATAAATTATTGCTGACTGTAGTCACCTTGTTGTACTAGACTTTATTCATTCTATCTAACTAGGTATTAAGCCCAGCATGCATTAGCTAGTTTTCCTGAAGTTCTCCCTCCCCCAACCCTGACAGGCCCCAGTGTGTGTTTTTCCCCTCCCTGTGTCCATGTGTTCTCATTGTTCAACTCCCACTTATAAATATTGAGAACATAAGTTGTTTGGTTTTCTCTTCCTGAGTTAGTTTGCTGAGGATAATGGCTTCCAACTGTACCTATGTTCCTGCAAAGGACATGATCTCGTTCCTTTTTATGGCTGCATAGTAGTCCATGGTGTATATGTACCATATTTTCTCTTTCCAGTCTATCATTGATTGGCATTTGTTGATTCCATGTCTTTGCTATTGGAAATAGTGCCGCGATGAATATATGTGTGCATTTATCTTTATAATAGAATGACACAGGGACTCTGCTTGACAATGACGTTTAAAAACAAAAGGAAAGAGAACCAAAATTTAACAACAAATTTTGGTTGTTGTTATTGATATTGTTATCAATATAAATATTGATAATGTTATCAATACAGATCTCAGGGGTTTAATTTCATCAGCAATGGAATCAACCATAAGAGAACATTCTATACAACTCTTTGGCAAAGTAATTGAACAATTTAGAAGAGATCTATAATTTCTTACTTGAACACACAACAGTGTTAATAAATGTTGTCACTGTAAGTAAGGAAAGTGAGAAAATTAAATCCAACATAGTTTTTAAAATATAGTTAAAAACTAAAATAAAAATATATGTCATATATGGGTATAATAACATCACGTAAGAAGAAGAAAGCAAGGAGATGACAAACATGGAATTAAGAATGCTGGTTGCTTCAGGTAAGGGGAGGCAAGTGAACAAAATGGGTGACGGAAGTGAAATTATGTGGTTGCATTTGGGTTGTTATCCAGGTCTTATATATTGTATTGGGTCATATATTCATCAATATGTGTTATATTATTAATAAGTTCTTAGTAAATAGTAATATACCAAACTGACTGCTATAAAAGCAATATGCTGGCTCTCATCACTATCATATAAAATTGTTTTGGTAATACTAGCTAAAGCAATAAGAAAATAAAATGAAATAAACAGTATGAATATTAGGAAGAAAATTTTTTCATTGTTCTGATTTTATTTTGTAGATGAAAGCCTTGCATAACTGAAAATCCCAGGAGACTAAATAAGAAACCAATTAAGACAATAATCCTCAATAGAGAAGTAGTTGAATAATGTAATGTTAGGCAGTTGTTAAATGAATGAATTAGGTCTATAAATTTTGATATGGAAGGATGTCCAGAATGCATTTTTAAGTAAAAATATAAATGGTGTGTGTAGTTTAATCCCAGTTTTGTAAAAACAAACTCTTCCAAATATACAAGTACTCATAAAATTTGTATAATGAGCCTAAAAGGTATACACCCCAAACATTTAACAGTAAGTGAGACAGAAGACAGAGACAGTAAAACTATTACATGCTTTCTTTAACATCTCGGTGCCCTTTAAATTATTACAATGAGCTTATTTTATTACTGTAATTTTAAATTTAAATTATTATTTTTAAAAACAGCATATATTACTATTTTCTTGGCTAAATATCTAATCTCATTACTTTTTTTTTTTGTATTTATACCTAAGTGGTGTTACAAATGTTGATACAATTCCTTACCTTTCCAAATACCCTACATAAATGGCCACTATTCAAAGCACATTGGCCAGTTCAATTACATCATTTCTATGTAATACATCCCTTTCTATTTAGGTCCCATTGAGTCAAATGTTAAAATACTGTGTTGTCTTTTATTAATAACAAGCGTATTAAGACCCAAAACTAATTTAGACCAAACCAAAATACAAAATCACGCACACCATGCAACAATGATAATCTGCCCACTAGAGCATAAAACACTTGAAAATTACAAACATTGAATATCTCTTATAACAGCATGGTGTATTCTAGAATGCAAGGAGGATGTTAAAATAATAATAAGAATATAAACTACTAGAAAATTACTGTTAAATAATAATATAATTAGAATCCCATAATTCTACTTGGATGTCCTACTGGCACCTCATATTTAAACATGCAAAGCTGAATTCATCATTTTCTTCTCCCATACAAAGTTTATCTTTCTATTAATGTGAGAAATAGTCTCCCGATACCTATAACTGATATTCAAAACTGAACATTACCATTGGGCTCCTCCTATCCCTCCTTCACCCTTTGTATCTAGTCACCAAGTTTGGCCATTTCTCCTTCAAAATGCTCCTTGTATTGCTTCTCCTGCAGAGTCCTTGCCTCCAAACTCATTCAGGTCCTTCTCACCTCAGAACATTATTAGAATAATGAATACAAAATTAGACACGGAGTCTCCCAAATGTTCCCGCTGTCTTCAATCTCTTGTCCCTCCCATTCATCCTTCATTTATGTCCAAAAAGATTCATTTTTAGAAACATTCCTTTTATCTCATCCCTATTTAGGATGAGATATAATGGATCCTCACTGCCCATAAGATAAAATCTAAGCCTCTCCCTACTAGCCCACCCCTAAACACAGTCACCACCACCAAGCTATAAATTCCCTAAAGACTGAGAACACTGTTGGGCAATATGTTCTGCCTTTTATAAGTGCTCAGTAAATGTTCGTGGAAAGAAAGAAAAAGGATTAGGTTGAAGAAAGGCAGGATAATGGAGGAGAGAGATAGAAAGAAGAAAGGTAGTGAGAGAGGGAAATGAAAGAAAAGAATATATTGAAGAGCAAGACAAAAGAGTTTATCAGGCCAGATCTTCAGGGTAGGAACAATAATTGTGATGTACAATAGGAACAATTCAAAGACAGATATGTGCTCTTTGATTTGCCTAAAATTAAGTACAATGTTAATTCTGATGTCTGTACACAGGCTAGAATTGATATAATGCTCTATATTTGACCAGATAAGGAAACACATTTTACACTTCTTCACTAACATGCAACAATCCATTTTTTAAATGAGGACATAAAAGTGAAATAATACTTGTTCTAGACTTAACATCTCAAACAACTTGCTGAATGTGCAACAGATCAAATACCTGGGTGACCCTTGAGATAAAGTGTGACCATATCAGATGTATTGTGAAATCTCACATTTTCTTATGATTTAAATTGTTTTCTGGATCTATTATATGCCCTATGTTGCCACACTATTGAGTTTTCTTATTAATACTATTATCAATAACAATAAAGATATAATACTGAGTGCTTATTACATATCAGGTACTCGTACACTTCACATATGTTATCTCATTTAGCATTAACAAAAACCCTATGAGGTAAGTACTATTATTATCGTCATTTTATATATGAGGATAATTTTTATATGATGATAATAATAATCATAATTTTATATAAGATAATATTTTATTATATATAAGGAAAGTGAGGAACAAGAAGGTTAAACTGCCTATTGTAATATAACTAATAAAATAAAATACCCTCATTTTATATATGAGGATAATAATTTTATATTTATATATGAGGATATTATTATTATTATATCTAAGAAAAGTGAGGAACAGGAAGGTTAAACTGCCTATTGTAATATAACTAATAAAATATAAACCTGAAATATATTTATTTTAAAAATTAGTAGTGTTTCATAACATAAAAGTGTATGAAAATCTACAGTCCTCTGTGATTTCTCAATATTATTAGAAATTTCAACCAGTACTTTAGAATTATGGCTTGCAGCTTATCAAATATTTTATAGTACTTTTTTCAAAGAGTTTCACGAGTTAATAATTGGGGCCCCAACTACTAATAATAAATTTGCAGAAGGTTATGAACTTGCCAGTGGCCAGCTGAAACTTGAAACAAATCATTACACCATCAGTCTTCCTTGCATCCCCTGAATCACTTACTATTATTGTGTACATTTTAAAACATAGAGACATGTGACACAGATTAGGTGAAATTTCAACAGCCACCAACTGAATAAATGGCATAGCAAATATATGAATTCAGATTTCTCAGTATCAATTATTACAGCTGAACTCCACATCACATGACTCTTCTAAAGGTTGAATGTGGTAATATATGAAGACTGTTGAGAATGTAGTAACCAGGGTCATGTTGGTAAATGTTGATTCCTAGAAGACTAAAAGACTAGCTACTCATGTTCACAAAAATATGCATTACAGAGGTCCTCCTTGCATTGTAGAAGCATAGAACTGAGACAAGATTTGGATATAAAGGCTTTTGGCTCTACTTAGAATAAAAACCTGAGACAAATCTGATACTGTCCTTTCATCTAGTGAACTTGAAGGAAAAAAGAAGGCACTAGAAACCCCCAAATTACCCCCATTAATCCTACAGATATCAAAACATTCTACCTCCTCCCACTATGTGTACTAACAAGACAATGGAGCACACTGGTCAAGCGTCACAGAGTAAATATTTTTTATTCTTCCACATTCTCAAGAAACCAACCCATAGGACTTGTTCTAAAGTATAAGACACACTTCCCTTAAAAGCTGCATGGAAGATTCCTGCATACATTGGGAACTGAAAACAGGCACATGTTCATTCACGAACTCAAAGCCTTTTAAGATTTTTTTAATGGAAAGGAACATGCACACCTGCTGTCTCTTTACAGCTTTTGGCATCTTAACGTCTACACTTGAAGAGCATTAAAACAAAGGGATCTAGAACTAGAAATACCATTTTGACCCAGCCATTCTATTACTGGGTATATACCCAAAGGATTATAAAACATGCTGCTATAAAAACACATGTACACGTATGTTTATTGCGGCACTATTCACAGTAGCAAAGACTTGGAACCAACCCAAATGTCCAACAATGATAGACTGGATTAAGAAAATATGGCACATATACACCATGGAATACTATGCAGCCATAAAAAATGATGAGTTCGTGTCCTTTGTAGGAACATGAATGAAGCTGGAAACCATCATTCTCAGCAAACTATTGCAAGGACAAAAAAACAAACACCGCATGTTCTCACTCATAGGTAGGAATTGAACAATGAGAACACATAGACACAGGAAGGGGAACATCACACCCCCAGGCCTGTTGCGGGTGAGGGGAGGGGGGAGGGATAGCATTAGGAGATATACCTAATGTTAAATGACGAGTTAATGGGTGCAGCACACCAACATGGCACATGTATACATATGTAACTAACCTGCAGGTTGTGCACAGGTACCCTAAAACTTAAAGTATAATTTTAAAAAAAAGAGAGAATAAACTCTAAAAAAAAAAAAAAAAAAAAAAAAGTGAGGGATCATTTGTGTAGCCCTCTGCATTTTCTTTCACTATATTGACCAGGCTGGTCTTGAAATCCTGGGCTCAAGCAATCTTCCCACCTCTGCCTCCCAAAGCTCTGGGATTAAAGGCATGAGCCCCCATGCCTGGCCTCACCTTTTGCATTTTAAGAAATGCTTTTCCGGCCAGGCAGGATGGCTCACGCCTGTAATCCCAGCACTTTGGGAGGCCGAGGCAGGCAGATCATGAGGTCAGAAGATCGAGACCATCCTGGCCAACATGGGAAACCCCATCTATACTAAAATTTCAAAAATCAGTTGGGTGTAGTGGCGCGTGCCTGTAATCCCAGTTACTCGGGAGGCTGAGGCAGGAGAACAGCTTGAACCAGGGAGGCAGAGGTTGCAGTGAGCCAAGATCTCGCTACTGCACTCTAGGCCGGTGACAGAGTGAGACTCTATCTCAAAAAAAAAAAAAAAAAAAAAAAAAAAAAAAAAAAAAAAGCATTCCACATCTTCAAATGCAATTTGCCAGAAATTCTAAGTGAAGAAGTCGGACTAAGATGAACCAATGGATCCTAATGTCAGATTTAGATGGATTATTATATGTATAGCATTGTGATATTCCAAACTCTTCCTCTATTATTTCTTGAAAAGATGTGCTTTTGAAAATCTTATATCAGTGAATTAAATATATACTCTAGCATTTGAACATGTAAATGAAATGTATCATTTTGTTCTTTAAAGAAAAACCATGTGTTCAGAATTCATGCTGAATATCGATATCTACTGAGTGACTCTTGCAAATGTGTGAGGCTGCTGAAATTAGAACATGGCATAACGCTATTAAAATTCACAGTAATACATGATTCTACTACATTAATCTTATCTTCCTATTTTCAGATGAGCCTTCATGGCACTCCATTTCCAAGCCATGTCCACTGACTATGATTTAACAGCAGACAACAAATAACTCCCTTTTGTTTTTCAAACTTTTATACAGGTTGTTTCTGAGCTAGATCAACCACAATCTCTAACTATCTGCTCCATGTGCATAAAATCATTCTAGAAATACCATTGAGATAATTTTAAGTACTAAGAATTCTAAAATACTTTCCAAAATACAAAGGTAATTCAAAGTAACCATTTATAATTTTTAACTTCTCTATTTACTCCATCAATTCAAGTATTGATATAATACTATTTTCAACACCATTTTCAAATAATTTGATGAAATATTAGTATGAGCTTTTCCTTTTGTTATTAACTCTGTAATTTATGATGAATATTTGTTTAAAAAGTCATAATTCAGATATCTAAGATGTAAGCTAAGTTTACACTTTAACTCAATTCTAATGCTACTATTGCCAATTTTTTTATTAATCTACATTTACTCCTCCTGGCTCTGTAATTTCTGAAAGAGCTTTTGACTGAAAACAACAGCATTCTCATATGAAATGTTCATCTAACCTTTTATATTTCCTTAAAAGATTTTGTAAAATAAGAAATATTTAAGATATTTTCCAAAGTAAATCTAGTGTTAAAAAACTTAGAGATGTAATTAAAAGATTGTCACTAAATGAATATTAAATGTTAGAAACAAAAATTCTATGTGATATATTAATAGTACTTAATATGTTGATTATGGAATCAGTTTTATTCACATGGCTTTTGTCAGCTGTTACTAAGTTCACTATTTTTAGATGTTGACAAAAGTAGGAAAAAATCAAACTTTAAAATTGTTTATAGATAGAACACTTATTTTCAAACAGGTATTTTATTTTATGCTACATCCCAGAATTTAATAATTCACCATTTTTCAAATGAATGTTTAGTCGATCTTATTTAACACCAAGAAAAATCTAGTATCTGGATACAACTGAATACATGCAAAAGAAATTGCAGACTGACAGGTCAGAGTGGGTAGGGAGCATCTCCCCCACCCCACCGCCCCACCGCCTTCAGTTTTCTGGCTCTCATTCAAGGGAGAAAACATTAGTCCTGAGGTCCAGTAGTCTGAGATGCTCGCCACATGAAACACTATATTTGTTTCCTGTCCTGGTGATGGCTCCAACTCACTCCAACATATGACCTTTACAAATTACTGAACACATGCTAGGGCCAGCCAAAACCATGAACCATCCTCCTTTTGCAGTTTTCCCTTGCATTTGTACTCTGTGAATGCAGCCCAGTCAGACGTGTCAATGTCTTTAAAAATAGGGCTGCTTCTGAATGGTGCAATTCTGAATCAGATTCTAATTGCAAATAATTAGAATTACTGCTTCCTTTTCATAAGCAAAGCATCATGTGGCTAAGCAGCTCTCTACTAGAGCCAAAGATTCAAATTGACTTCACTAAGCATTTACAATTAAGTGGTTGGTAGACCAAAGGAAAACTATAAAAGGAGCTACAGGGCTGATTAGTGATCTACTATTTTAGATAGAAAAAGTTGTATATCTTGCTCTCTACAAATCTATTTGTTTTCACTTATCTTCTTTACCTGGTGAGTAAATCTAAATGAGTATCAACTGTATAAAACAAAAATGATGTCCTTACAGAGCTTATATCGTATGGTCCATTATTTTAATCATTCCCTTCAATAGGCCCTCATCATCCTTGCTCTTCTTCTATCCAACACAAGAAAATTACAAACTATGCACGTTGTGCACATGTACCCTAAAATTTAAAGTATAATTAAAAAAAAGAAAATTACAAACTAAATTTTTTACTCTTGAACATAGATGCAAAAATTCTAAAGATAACATTATCAAACCAAGACTGGCAAAAATATAAGGTAGACATGACATTTGAGAATCAATCACATTCATCACATTAACTTAATAAAAGGAAATATGTATATTTATATATCTATATAATCATCTTGGTACATGCAGGGAAAAAGCTGGATAAAATTCAACATCCATTCATAATAAAGATTCTTAGTAAACTAGAAATTTAGGAGAATTTCCTTAATCAGATAAAGGGTACCTAAGAAAAACCGACAACAAACATTATATGTATTAGAAAAGGTTGAAAGCTTTCATTCTAAAACTTGAAATGAGGCAAGGATTTTTGTTATTGCTATTTCTAAGGACAGTTCTAGAAAAACTAGCCAACGTAACAAAACAAGAAAAATAAATAAAATATTGAAAGATTGGAAAGGAAGAAATAAACTGTCTACATGATTACCAAGGTACCGAATCCAAAAGAATCAACAAATAAACCACTAGAGGACATAAATTTAGCAAGGTTGCTGAATATAGGGCCAATATTTTAAAATGCTTGCATTTTTATATAGAATAAACAAAACAGTTAGAAAATAAAATTTTTAAATGATATCATTTACAATACTGTCAAAAGAAAACCCACCAAATGCCCAAGAAGAAAACTAACGAAAGATGTGAAGACCTCCACAAAGAAATCTATTAAATATTATTTGGTAAATTAAAGAATAAATTGACGATATAACGTATTCATGGGTTAGAAAACACAATATTATAAAGATGTGATTTCACCACCACACTGATCTGTTGACTCAATGAAGTACAATAGATATCTCTTTTTTTCTTTTGGGAAACAAGATGATTCTAAACTCTGTATGTAAAATTTAAAGGGTCAAGAATGGCTAAGAAAATCTTGAAGAAGAATGAAGTCAAAGGCTTCCTCCAACATATCAAGACTTATAACAGAGCTATAATATCTCTAAAACAGTATGACATTGGCACAAATAGACCAATGGAAGAGAAATCAATGTCCAAAACAGATCTACAATATAGATACTTCTTGAATAAATGTTATATATGCTAAGTTTTTAAAATTCCTTTGAAATATCTCAATTATCTTTTACAAGATAAGGTTTTACTAACATTGCTATTGATAATTTTATTTTTCACTGTTTTTGGGTTTTCATAAAGGAATAAGTCAAAGTTTCAAATTATTGATAAATCAAGTTCTTATTTTCAAAAAGGCATTTAATTTCGTTTTACTTAATGCTATATCCCAAAGTTCAATATATCACCTTTTTTCTTAATGAAGATTTTCACCACAATAGGATTAGTCTCCAACAAGGAAGAACTAAAGACAATTCATCTAACTCTTAACTCTCCTTTATGATACCTAAGTTTTATAAGTTTTACTTATGCAAATATTCTCAAGCACATTCCAATTAGCTTGTTAAGGTCACCAATCACCTACTTTGCAAAATCCAGTAATCAATTCTAAATCTTCAAGTGCTTTGAATTCTTGATACCATTTAGCCAACTAATCAGTCCTACCTTCTTGTAAATCTTTCCTCAAGTGGTTTTTGGGCAAACATTCCTCAGTCTTCTTAGAATGTCCTTGACCTCTACCTTTCAATCTTCCTAGTTGATTTCTCCTCATCTCCCCAACTGCCAAGTATTGGCATGCCCCATAGTTCAGTCTTTGGATTTTTATTTTTTCTGTCTCTCTATCTAGTCTATTCCCCAGACAATCTCATTCAGCCTTATATCTTTAAAAATCATTGGTATTCTGATTCCTAAATTCTTATCTCAAGCCTAAACCCCTCTACTGATGTTCCAGTTCACTTACTCTATTGCCTACTTCTCTCCCTTTGGATTTCTAACAGGCACCTCAAACTCAAAATGCCTAAAACCTAGTTGTTAATATTCCCTCCTGAACTTGTATTTCCCACAGACTTCCTCATCTTAGTAAACGAGAACTCCATCCTTCCACTGGCTCAGGAAAAAAAAAAAAAAAAAAAGAATAATCTGACAACTCTCTTACTCTCAGCCCTCACCTACAACTTACCTGTCAGCTTGACCATCAAAATAAACGCAATACCTGGACACCTCTCGCTTTCTTCATAGTTACCACCCTGATTCAGCACCTCACCACTTCTTAACACAATTATTGCAGTATACTGCAGTACCTCCTAATTGATTTTCTTGCTTTTGCTTGTTCCCCTAGTTTTTTTCCCACATAATCTGAGTGATCTCTTTAAAATGTGGACTGATTATGTCATTACTATGCTCCATATCTGACAGTAGCTTCCACTGTTAGAGTTTAGCCAGATTCAGTACTGTGACTTAAAATGTCCTAAATGTAGAGGTGGATTCACCATGAACCTAAAAAAAGCTTAAACTTTTGGTCTCTAAAAATTATGTATTCATAATTTTCTATTAAAGAGCACTGCAACTGTTTAATCTTCAGGATTCCACAACCTGGAGCCACCCATAACTACATGATCTGGCCTCCCACTACCATTATTTCTACTAATTTCTTGCTGATTTCCTACAACCCTCTTTCCTCCCTCACTGCACTTGTACAGGATAGTCCTGCAACAGTGAGGAAGGTATTCAGTAAATATTTTATGAATAAATGAACAAATAAAAAAAAACCCATGCTGGGGCAAGGTTGACACCTCATCTTGCAGAGTTCTTATGTGGAACAAGAACAGGAGTCTCCTCTTAGCAATCAACTTTTTTCTTCACTTATTCAATGTCCAACTCCACTCTCATATTCTAACGTGGAGCATGAAAAACTTGTATGCATCTTACCACTGCACTCTTCTGGCTTTCCTTCTCATTTCTTCTCCCGGCACACCTACCCCATGGTAAGAAACTTTTCATTTATTCACTCTATGCTATATTTTCTCTTTTCAGCTGAATGCTACACATTGATTCCTTCAGAGTTAGTACTCAATATACAAAAGAGAGAGATAACGAATTCAGAAATTTATCTTATTTGCTGTTGTACAATCAGATTTTGAAAGTTACAACCTTAATATCACCTTGGTCTTTCTACCTGCAGCCTCTCCACCTCCCAAATAAAAAATCTGAAGAGTGGTCATCAAATAATCCCAATTTGCTAGAATATACACAAAATTATTAAATGCCATGGCAAAAAAGAAATGATTTAACAAAAAACTGGGCAGTTTTGCACTATTTCTAGTTCTTGTTCTTTTACCACAGCCTGTATTATATTTGCTAATACCTCAGTTAAAATTTTTTTAAATGTGAAAAAATAAATTAGGCACAAAAAAGGCTTCTTTTGGAGGATGTAGGTGAAGAGAGAGGTAAAAGAGAGAGAATGGCTTCAGGCTTAACTGTACTGAATCTAAGATATCACTGGTACATCCAAGAAAACATGCACATCAGGCAGTTTATAGACCTGAGTTTTAATCTAAAAACAAGCGCTTAAGTTAAAGTTTTAACATCATGTATCATTTAAATTTGTAGTTAAAATTAAGAAAGTAGAAAAAAATACATAATCTAAATTAAAACATAGTCTAAAATGGTGGTCCAGGAAGAGCACTTTAAAAAATGCTTAACTTAGGAGATGGGAAACCAGTAACAACCAAGAAGGGAAGTGGGAGGAAAGAAAGAAAGAAAAGAAGCAAAGTTAAAAGCAAAGTGTGCCAGTTAAGCCAAAGACATAAGAAAATTCAGTTAGGATAAGCTGATGGATAGTGTGACATGTTCCTCAAAACTGTAACAGTAAGACCAAGAAAGATTAATGCTTTTAGCAAGTAGAAGGTCATAAGTGATCTTTGAAAGAGTAGTTCCAGTAAACATGTTGGAAAGGAGAATATCTCTATAGTCATCTCTACATAGATTTAGAAGCTTAAGCTGACTCTTTAAAACACCATTAACAAGTTAT